>NC_000009.12:105796309-105947824 GCF_000001405.40 Homo sapiens | reverse complement strand
TTAAGAGGGAAATTTATAGCACTAAACACCCACATCAAAAAGTTAGAAAGAACTCAAATTAACAACTAATATCAAAACTAAAAGAACTAGAGAAGCAAGAGGAAACCAACCCCAAAGCTAGCAGAAGATAAATAACCAAAATCAGAGTTGAACCAAAGGATATCAAACAAAAAAAAATTTTAGAGATTAATAAATCTGGGAGTTGGCTTTTTAAAAAAAATCAATAAGACAGGCCACTAGCTACACTAATAAAGCAGAAAAGAGAAAAGATCCAAATAAACACAATCAGACTTGAAAAGGGGGATGTTGTCACTAACCCCACAGAAATATGAATAATCATCACAGATTACTATGAACATCTCTATGCACACAAGCACAAAAACTAGAAGAGTTGGATAAATTCCAGGACACACGCAAGACTGAACCAGGAATAAACTGAATTCCTGAACAGACAATAATGAGCTCCAAAACTGAATCAGTAATAAATAGCCTACCAACCAAAACCAAAACAAAACAAAAAAACTCAACCCAGGGCCAGATGAATTCACAGACGAATTCTACCAGATGTACAAAGAAGAGATGGTACCATTCCTACTAAAACTATTCCAAAAAATTAGGAGGGACTCCGCCACAACTCATTCTATGAGGCCAGCATCATCCTAATATCAAAACCTGACAGAGATATAACAAAAAAATAAAACTTCAGGCCAATATCCTTAACGAAGTTTGATGCAAAAATCCTTAACAAAATACTGCAAACCAAATCCAGTAGCACTTCAAAAATCATGATCTACCACGACCAAATAGGCTTTATTCCCTGGGATGCAAGGTTGGTTCAACATATGTGAATCGATAAATGTGATTCATTACATAAACAGAACTTAAGACAAAAACCATGTGGTTACCTCAATAGATACAGAAAAGGCTTTCAATAAAAGTCAACATCCATTCATGCTAAAAACTCTCAATAAATTCAGTACTGAAGTAACATACTTCAAAATAATAAGAGCCATCTATGACAAACCCACAGCCAACATCACACCAAATGGGCAGAAGCTGGAAGCATTCCCCTTGAAAACTGGCACAAAATGGCCAGGTGCGGTGTCTTACACCTGTAATCCCAGCACTCTGGGAGGCCAAGGCAGGCAGGTCACGAGGTCGGGAGATCAAGACCATCCTGGCCAACATGGTGAAATCCCGTCTCTACCAAAATATAAAAAATTAACCAGGTGTGGTGGCATGCGCCTGTAGTCCCAGCTCATCAGGAGGCTGAGGCAGGGGAATCACTTGAACCCAGGAGGCAGAGGTTGCAGTGAGCCGAGATCACGCCACTGCACTCCAGCCTGGTGACAGAGTGAGATTCCCTCTCAGAAAAAAAAAAAAAGAAAACTGGCACAAGATAAGGATGACCCCCTCTCACCACTCCTATTCAACTTAGTATTGGAAGTTCTGGCCAGAGCAATCAGGGAAGAGAAATAAAGGGCATCCAAATAAGAAGAGTAGAAGACAAACTTATTCCTGTTTGCAGATGATATGATCATGATTCTGTATCTAGAAAACCTCATAGTCTTGGCCCAAAAGCTTTTTTAGCTGATAAACAACTTCAGCAAAGTTTCAGGATAGAAAATCAACATACAAAAATCACTAGCATTGCTACACACTCGACAACAGCGAAGACAAAAACCAAATCAGAAACACAAATCCCATTCACAATTACAACAAAAAGAATAAAATACCTAAGAATACAGCTAACCAGAGAGATGAAAGATCTCTACAATGAGAATTACAAAACATTGCTCAAGGAAATCAGAGATGACACAAATGGAAAAACATTCCATGTTCATGGATATGCAGAATCAATATAACTAAATATATTTAAAATGGCCATACTGCCCAAATAAATTTGCAGATTTGATGCTGTTTCTATCAAACTACCAATGAAATTATTCACAGAACTAGAAAAAACTATTTTAAAATTCATGTGGAACCAAAAAAGAGCCCAAATGGCCAAGGCAATCCTAAGCAAAAAGAACAAAGTTGCAGGCATCTTGTTGCCCAATGTCATACTGTTTTTGTACCAGTACTATGCTGTTTTAGTTATAGGCCAATAAAACAGAATAGAGAGCCAGGAAATAAGGCCACACATCTATAACCATCTGATTTTTTTGACAAAAACAAACAATCGGGAAAAGACACCCTACTTAATAAATGATGCTGGGATAACTGGCTAACCATATGCAGAAAACTGAAAATGGACCCCTTCCTTACACCATATAGAAGAACCAACTCAAGATGGACTAAAGACTTAAATGTAAAACTGAAAACTATAAAAAAAACCTAGAAGGCAACTTAGGCAATGACATTCTGGACATAGGAACTGGCAAATATTTCATGATGAAATCACCAAAAGCAATTGCAACAAAAGCAAAAATTAATAAATGGGATCTAATTAAATTTTAGAGCTTCTGAACAGCAAAATAAACTGTCAAAAGAGTAAACAGACAACCTACAAAATGGGAGAAAATTTTTGCAAATTATGTACCTGACCAAGGTATAATAACTAGCATCTATAAAAAATTTAAACAAATTTACAAGAAAAAAACAACCCCATTAAAACGTGGGCAAAGGACATGAAAAGACAGTTTTCAAAAGAAGACATACATGCAGCCAACAACCATATTTTTAAAAGCTCATTATCACTGATCATTAGAGAAATGCAAATCAAAACCACAGTGAGATATCATCTCACACTAGTCAGAATGACTATTACTAAAAAGTCAAAAAATAATAGATGCTGGCAAGGTTGTGGAGAAAAGGAACACTTACATGCTGTTGGTGGGAATGTAAATTGTTCATGTGGAAAGCAGTGTGGCAATTCCTCAAAGAGCTAAAAACAAAACTACCATTTGTCCCAGCAATCCTATTTCTGGGTATACACCCAAAGGAATATAAATCATTTTACTCTAAAGACACGTGTACGCATATGTTCATTTCAGCACTATTCACAAGAGCAAAGACATGAAACCAACCTAAATGTGGTAGATTGGATAAAGAAAATGTAGTACATATAAACTATGGAATACTACACAGCCATAAAAAGAATAATGATTAGACGGGAATAAATAAAACTGTCTCTATTTGCAAATAACATGACTACTTATGTAAAAAACCCTCAGGATGATACCAAAAAACTACTAGAACTAACGAGGGAATTTATCAAGATCTCAGATTATAGAATTAAATTTTTAAAAATCAAGATAAAATCAACATTAATTGAATTTTTACATATTGCCAGCATACAATTGGAACACAAATTTTCAAAATTGCATTTATAATAGCACGAAATAAATATAATATCTTTAGGAATAAATTTAACAAGTGAGACAAGACTCCTATAACAAAAAGAACAAAATTTTGCTGAGATAAATTAGCAAAGATCTAAATAAATGGAGAGGTATACCATGTTCATGGATTAGAAGACAATATAATTAAGATGTCTCTTTCCAAATGTATCTATGGTTTTAACATAATGCCAAAAAATTTCAGCAGAACTTTTTGGTAGAAAATTACAAGTTAATTATACATTTTATATGGAAATCAAAATGACTTAGAAAATAAAAAGCATTTTTGAAATAGAAGAAAAAATTGGTATACTTACACTGCCTGATTTTGAGTCTTACTCTTAAGACCCAGTAATCAAAACAATGTAGTAGTGCCAAAAAGATAGACATATAGATCAATTTGTATAGAATATAGAACCAAGGAATAAATTCATATATATTTGATTAGTTTTCAATAAAGGTGCTGAGGTAATTTTAAAAAGAAATGAAAGTTTTCTCCCCAAATTGTGCTGGAACAAGTAGATACCCTTAGGTGAAAAAATTAACATTGACCCTTACCTTATATCATAAACCAAAATTAATCAAAATTGTCCATAGGCCTAAATGTGATGGAACAAAAGAGAAGCAAAGAAGAAAATCCTTGCAACCTCAGGGTAGATAATAATTTCTCAGATAGGACACAAAACCACAAACCATTCAAATAAATTGGTAAATTAGATTTCATCAAAACCTGAAAGTTTTGTTTATCTAGACACCTTGAAAAAATGAAGAGATAAGCCATATAATGGGATAAAATATTTGTAATCTGACAAAGAGCTAGTATTCAGAATACATAAAGAATTCTTACAACTCAATGAGAAAACTGACAGAATTGTGAACAAAAGACTTGAACAGACACTTCACATAATACAGATGCTCCTCAACTTAAATTAAGCTTACAGCCTACTAAAATATTATTTCAATTGTGCATGAGAGTTCTTTCATGATTTGACAGTCTGCTTGTGTATTGTTGGTGTATAGGAATACTTGTGATTTTTACACATTGATTTTTGTATCCTGAGACTTTGCTGAAGTTGCTTATCAGCTCAAGAAGCTTTTAGGCTGAGACAATGGCGTTTTCTAGCTATAAGATCATGTTATCTGCAAACAAAGACAATTTGACTTTCTCTCTTCCTATTTGAATATGCTTATTTTGCTCTCTTGCCTGCTTGCCATGGCCTGAACTTCCAATACTATGTTGAATAGGAGTGGTGAGAGCGGGTATCCTTGTCTTGTGCAAGTTTTCTAGGGGAATGCTTCCAGCTCTTGCCCATTCAGTATGATATTGGCCATTAAAGGAAGAAACCTAATGTGCTTATTCCAAAAGATAGCTGTTTCAGTTCAGGCTGAGAGATACCTCTCCTTTTTTACTCTACCTTTGATACTTCAACAATAACCAAAGTGGATAAAAAATATAAATTATTCCTGTGGGAAAGCTTTCTCCCACACTGCCCACCATGCTTAGTATTTCAAAAGGCAAAAGAAGGTTTTGAAAAGTAATCACCAGCAGAGCCAGGGACCAAAGAACTCTACTCACTTTGTTTTTTGGCAAATGTCAAGCTCTGCTATATATATCTTTGTTAAAAGGAATATACTCATTTGAAAGATGTAAAAATCAAGCTTGAGAATTTAGAAGTTTCTGAAACGGAAGGAAAAATAGCACAGCACTCAGGATACAAAGAAGAATATAATGGACCCTACTGTATTGACTGTCCATTCTTTGTTCACGTTTTCACTGTCTTTATAGGCCTTGGTGGGAGACAGAGGACACCTTCTACTACTGTTGCTGAAAGATCAGAAACTTGCTTTACCAGACATACTTGCAGTTAGACCACGGACATGTAATCTAGGTTCAGCCAATCATGTGCATGCTTCCTGAACTACGAACCAGTGTCTAGTGATGCAAAAAGCAGAACAGTGGAGAATCCATTTGGATGGCAGAAGGGCAACCATGGCAGCAACATAGTTTCTGGAGGAAATAATGACAGAGGTGGAAGCTGTGGCACTGGGTGCTTGGCAAAAATAGCGGATAATGCTCACCTGACCAGTTCTGCGGTGTGATTTTACAGGATTCCAGCCATGTCACCTCTAGGTTCAGTTATCCAGTGCATGCCCTCTATTCAACAATCCAGAGACTACCCAACATCAATACTCTCAACTTAAATTAGCCAAAGTCAGTTTCTTCCACATTAAACTAAGAACCCTGACTGATTCAAACAGCTGTCTTCTGAAAATTATTTATACAGAAGACTAAAGAAATGTAGAAATCATAAATTTTAGTTTTTAATTAGGTTCAAAAGAACACAGATACCATTAAGCAAATAAAAATTGAGAGTATCAGGTGTTAGATGCAACTTTAAAAATAGGTGAACGAAATACAGAGACATAAAGATAAGCTTGCTGAGATGAGAAGGAAACTAGAAATGAAATAACACAATTAAAATCTACATTAGAAGCAGAAAATATAATCATAGACACTGTAGAAAATCAAATTAATTGCCTAAAAACAAATCTGGAAAATCCTTCAAAAATGCAAATGGCAGGGAAGAGAAGAAAATAAAATGAGAGAAGATGGATAGATGTAGAGGTGAGAAAAGAAATCAAATCTGCAGATAGTTGATATTCCTAAAAATGAGGCCAAAATAAATGGAACAAAATTGAAATAGAGCAAAAATCAAAGATAAAGGTGGGGGAAAAAAACCTTCCAGCATTAAAGAAAAATTTATGTCTACTAAATAAAAAGATTTAAAAGTACCAGTCAACACTGATTAAAAAGAGGGCAACAGCCAGAAAGAACAATTGCCAAACATAAAACAAATATAAATTATTTTAAAATATAAAAACATAGAGTCTTCTCAGATTTCTCCTTAAAACTAAACACCAAAAAAAAAAAAAAAAAAAAATAGAGCAAATTCTTCAGTTTTTTAAAGGAAAAACATGGTAACTGTGATGGTCAATTTTATGTGTCAAGTTAACTGAGCTAAGGGATGCCCAGATATCTGGTAAAACAAGATTTCTGGGTGTATTTGTGGAGGTGTTCCCAGAAGAGATTAGCATTTAAATCAGTAGACTGAGTAAAGAAGATCCACCCTCACCAATGTGGGCGGTCATCATCCAACCCATTGAGGGCCTCAGTAGAACAAAAAGGCTAAAGAAGAGTGAGTTTTCCCTCTTCTTGAACTGGGACATTCATCTTCTCTGGCCCTCGGACATCAGAGTTTCTGGTTCTCAGGCCTTTGAACTCAAACTGAATTACACCACTAGCTCTCCTGGTTCTCAGCTTATAGACGGCAGATGGTGAAACTTCTTGGCATTCATAATCACCTGAGCCAATTCCCATAATAAATATATCAATATAATAAATAAATGTGTGTATAAATATGTTTATATACATAAATAATGACTAAATAATGACACAGTGATTAAAAGTGACTCAATCAGAAAAACTAGGAAGATATTCTCTGACAAAAATAGGACTAATAGAGATTATGACCCAGATACAACTCAGAAAAAGTAAAAAAGTACTTGAAGATAGATCCTAACTCATCAAGAGTTAACTCAAAACAAAAAAGTCAAAAATGAAACTTCCATAGTATTAAAAAACTGGACATTATGTGAAATCAGTAAACATAGAACTCAGGGTAACCAAGTATTATAAATGTGGCTAGAAAATAGAATATTATCTTAAAAGAAAATAAATACAAAAGTGAAAAAGATAATTTAATAATAGCTCTGTGTCAATAGACAGTGTTATCAGAGTCCGGAAATGGGTAGGGGAAAAGATAAGAGTAGCAAAAACATGTTTATTTCATTACTATATGTCGGAAAAATTAAAATTGTTACGTTGATTTGTAGAGTAATATAGATAGAAGTAGGATTACTAAAACCAAAGAAATCAATGTCCATAGAGCAAAAAATTGGAAATCAAAAAAAGTTTTAAAAAAAATAAAAATAAATGACAGACATGTCATTATCAAAATATACCTAATTTAGACTTCCATATTATAATTTAGACTTCTCTTACCTAGTGTTAAGAAGACTCTCAAGGATGTCAGTTAAGAAGATTCTCAACACTAGGTGAAATTCTTAACACCAGGTAAGATAAGTCTAAATTATAATATGTTAAGAAAATTCTTAACATTAGGTAAGAGATCAAATTCATATTCTCAGCAAGAATGCTTTGGAGAGATTAACAAAAGTGTTGGTCAAAAAAGAGAAAAACAAAAGAGAAGAGCAGAGATGACTATTAATATCAAAAAAATAAGAATTTAAGGCAAAAAATGCAATGTAAGAGAAAATGCCAATATATAGTGATAATGGTCACAACACATATTGAAGGTAGAACAATCGTGGTTATATAAGTGGTGAATAATATCAAAATATCTAAAAACAAAACTTGTAAATATACATGAGAAAGATATTTAATGTTGTAAAATTTTTACAGTAATTAATAAAAGAACTGAAAAGTTTCATTTAACTATTAGAAATTGGGAAAGGGAAAATAAATAATGTAAGGATGTTAATTCTCACTGTCCATAGTGCAGAGTCAATTAATATTACCTACAATTGATAAATCAAGTAATGGCAGCATAAACACATTATAAGGAGGTGTGAAAACAATCCCCAAAGAAAGTAAAAACACAAAGGCAAGAGACAGAGTAAGAATAAGAAAAGGTTGACAGGTTAACTCTTGCTTTTCAGACAAACTCATTTGTGCTATTTAATTTTTTCTAGATGTATAAATTTTCTTGAAAGATTTTTGTTTTTTTCTTTTTTTCTTTTTGAGACAGAGTCTCGCTTTGTCATCCAGGCTGGAGTACGATGGCACTATCTTGACTCACTGCAGCCTCTGCCTCGCAGGTTCAAGCTATTCTTGGGCCTCAGCTTCCTGAGTAGCTGGGACTACAGGCGCTTGCCATCACGGCTGGCTAATTTTTGTGTATTTAGTAGAGACAGGGTTTCTCCATGTTGGCCAGGCTCCTGACCTCAAGTGATCCGCCCACCTCAGCCTCCCAAAGTGCTGGGATTACAGGCCTAAGCTACAGTGCCTGGCCTTGAAAGTTTTTTTAATTGACACATCATAATTGTATACATGGGGTACATAGTGATGCTTTGATACACACAATGTCTAGTGATCAGATCAGGGTAATTATCATATCCATCATCTCAAACATTTATCATTTTTTTTATGTTGGGAACACAAAGTTTAATCATGAAAAACCACATGAATCCCCCAAATCATCAATTGTACAAGTCACATTTTTTGACTGCGGCATAATGAAATTTAAAATTAAAAGAATGTTTATGCAAATAAAGAAAAACAACTGTTTTGAAATCTTAAAAATTATGTTGTAAATAATCATTAATGGCAAATCCAAATTACAGTGTAATTAGAGAATAGGAATAGTGGACATATTACATTACAAATTTATGCAGTGCAGCCAAATTTATCACTGGAGCCAGATTCACAGCCTTAAAAATGATATCAAGAAAAGACTGAAAATAAAACAACTAATCAGTAGCAAAAGAAGTTAGAAATGAAGAACAGCAAAGCAAATCTCATAGAAGGAAAAAAAGAAAAATACGAATGGAGTATCTCTATTTTGAAAACAAATAGTGATATTACATATGTGCAACTATTGTGTATCAATTTTTAAGTGAAAAAAAGTAAATATAATAAAAGGTAACTTGCACCACCAGATATCAAGATGTACTACACAAGTATAATGATTAAAACCATAGAATAGACATACTAATAAATAAAAGTGAGTAGATATACTACGTTGAAATTCACATAAGCATTGAATATTTAATTACATTTCAATTCAAATAAGTGAAAATAGAGTTAAATATTTAATAATTTATTTGGGGAAGATTTTATATAGAAATAAGAAGGAAAATCTTACAAATTAACAAATGTAATATGTTCCTCGATGGAACATTAATTGTAATGTTGGAAACACAAAAACTCTATTCAATATAGTATAAGATGTTGATAAAATTCCAATCACTTAGTTGGACTTTTATGGGTTTGTCAAAATAACTTAGGAGTTTATCTGAAAGAAAATATTGGTAGTAATAACTGAACATTTTGGAGGAGAAAAGGTGAGGAGGTAGCAACTGCCATATCAATAATAAAATATTCCATAGAGATACAGTAATCAAAACAGTATGGTAATGTTTTTAAAACCAGAGAAATATGATAGAAATTACAGAAATAAACCTCTAGTATGTAAAAGAATTTAGGAAATGATAATAACTTCACAAGTAAATAGAAGGAAAAAGGATTATTCAAGAAATTGACCAGATTTAGAAAAAATTTCTGTCTGAATCTTTACATCACATTTATCCAGAAATAAAACTCAGATGAATAAAAGAGCTAAATGTAAAAAATGAACTCAGGAAATATTTGAAAGAAAAATATATTAGAAAACATGTTTGGGGATTGAAGAAAAATGTTATGCTTTTCTTGTAAAAGCAATGGAGGAAGTCTCAAAGAAAAGTGGGATAAAGCGGCCCTCATGAAAATTTAAATCTTGCATGTATATATATTTAAAACAAAAGTAGACCAGGCACAGTGGCTCTCACCTGTAATCCCAGCACTTTGGGAGGCTGAGGCAGGCGGATCAATTGAGTCCAGGAATTTGAGACCAGCCTGGGCAACACGGTGTAATAAAATTCTGTCTCTACTGGTGAGGTGAGGTCAAGGCTGCAGTGAGCCATGATCATACTACTGCACTCCAGCCTGGGCAACAGAGTGAGACCCTGTCTCAAAAAAATAAAAGGCAAATATAAAACTAGGGAAAAGATTAGCACCACTAATAAATAAATAACAGCCCTTACAAATCAGTGTAAAAAAAATCACACAACAGAAACACAGACAAAAGGCACACACAATTGACAAAAGACTAAGTCATTAACAAAAATATTAATACATATTCATTATCACAAGGAGTCAAATAAATATAAATAAAGCATTTATTCTTTTTTTTTCTTTTTTTTTTTGAGATGGAGTCTCGTTCTGTCACCCAGACTGGAGTGCAGTGGCATGATCTCAGCTCACTGCAACCTCTGCCTCCCAGGTTCACACAATTCTCCTGCCTCAGCCTCCCAAGTAGCTGGGATTACAGGCACACATCACCATGCCTGACTAATTTTTTTTGTATTTTTAATAGAGACGGGGTTTCACTATGTTGGCCAGACTGGTCTCGAACTCCTGACCTCGTGATCCACCCGCCTCAGACTCCCAAAGTGCTGGGATTACAGGCATGAGCCACCACGCCCAGCCAACTAAGGCATCTTTTTTACCATCACTTTGGGCTTGTTATTTCTTTCCTAGCACTATTGCAATATAAAATTACTTGTTTGTTTATTGTCTCTCTATGCCAATTAAACAGTAAACTCCTTGAGGGCAGGAGCATTGTCTCTCTTTTTCACAATTGTCCTTAACACTTAACATAATGCCTGGTACACAGGGGTGCTCAATAAATGTTTGTACCATAAGTAAATTAACAGACTTATTTTTTTCTCACTATTAAACATTTTTATAGCACTAACTGCCTGGCATTGTTGTACAAATATCAACATATTTTATTCTCAGAGAAACCCACTGAAGTATTTTATCATTAGTTTACAGACTCAAAAACCAAGGCACAGATTAATGAGATAACTAACCCAAGATCATAGAGCTGGTAAATAATAGAACCAGGGTTTAAACTGAGGCATTCTGATTCCAGTCTCTATGTTCTTAAGCACCATACTTTCAACCTAATATGTATTATATATGATTATCTTCTGCAATTTCATCTGTGATCTCTGGTTATTTCAAGAAAACCTTAGAGATCACAAATCATTATGTTAGGTATAGACTAGCAATATTAGCAAATTTCAGAAATGCAGTCATAGTTATCTGTTCACATCAGTGACTTCATTTGTTACACTTTTGCTTGTGTGCATGCTTTATTTTTTAATAAACTTAGTTTAGAACACCTTTAAATTTACAGAAAAATTGTGAAGATACATCCCACACCCAGTTTCCCCTATTATAAGCATCTTCCATTAGTATGGTAAACTTGAGACAAATTATTAATCAATATTGATACACTATTATTTATTAACTCCATATTCAGATTTCCTTGATTTGACCTAACATTTCTGTTCCCAGATCCCATCCAGGAGACCATATTGCATGTAGTTATCATGTCTCCTTAGGCTCCTCTTGGCTGTGACAGTTTTTCAGATTTTCCTTGTTGTTGATGACTTTGACAGTTTTGAGGAGCACTAATCAGGTATTTTGTAGAATGTCTCCCTCTTGGATTTGCCTGATGCATGATTATACTGGGTTTATGGGGTTTGGGGAATAGATTTATTTTTAATGATACAACTCAAGACTGGCAACGGTGCATTAAGATGAGCATTCTCATATATGGTGAGAGTAAAAATTGCTAAACCTTTCCTAGAAATAATTTTAGTAATAAGACTATCCTTAACGAAACCAAGTGATTCCACGTCTAAGACTCCTAAAAAAGTTTTCAGAGATAAGGGCAAGGATTGAGCTATCACTCTCTAAACCACACATAAGAGGAAATAGATGAATACAGCTATATAAGACACATGACTAGGAAAAATGTCTAGAGGGAGCTCTTTAAAAGGTTCACAATGTTCCTCTCTGGATGGTATAGTTATGAATGATTTTTACCTTTGTTCTTTTCTGTATTAAAAAATTTTTTTACAATGCACATATATTACATCTATCAGAGAAAACAATGTGACTTTTTTTTAAGAAAGTCACATAAATACATATTTTAGCTCTAACTATTGTTTTCAGGCCAAGGCTCATGATGGTGCCAAGGAAATCTGCAGCCATCTCCTGCATTCAAGATTCTCGAACTCTCTGCCACAGTTTGGCCTAGTATCTGGACCTGTAGCCTCTTCGGGACACTCAGCTAGCAGAGTTGACATTAAGACTGTTGTTAGTCTATTCAATAATCGAATTCAGACTATTCAATAGTTGACGTTAAGACTGTTTTCTCCTTACACTTGTCATCTGACTTACAGAATACTTATATTTACATACAGGTTTTTCTCTTTTATTCTTTTTGTTTTCGTTTGTATGTGTGTTTTCTTTCTTCCTTATCTCAATAAAATCAAGCTCAAGATCCTCATCCTGACAATTTTATCACTATTTGGCTAACCAGTACTTCCTTCACCTCAGTTCCCACAACCTTCCTTATGGTTTTTGATGTTTATCTCGAGTTTTTTGAGGGCCAGGTCAGATCTAATTCATCTTTGTTTTCACCATTAGTTCTCAATAAGTCTTCATTCAATAAGTTGAATAAATTTTAAAAAGTAATGCTCATCCATGGTTACTCTGAACGCACATCACCCACTATCCTGGTGCCATTCCCCTGCCTGGCCTACACTTTGGCCTTCTGTTCCCATGGGCATCATTGTCAATCCTTTGAGTGTTAGCGAATTCTGTGTTCCTTCTTGAATTCTCTCCTGTGAAGATCATTTGTCCTGGCCTCTGCTTCTTCTGATTTCCTAAGACTCTATTTGCATATTGTTATACACTATCTTATAGTGTCCCCTACTAATATCAAGTGTACCTGTGTCTCAGCCAGCATCCATTAGTGGGAAGTCTCCAGAATTTGATCTAAGAGAGACCTGGGATTACAAACCAACATTGCCACTACCATCTTGGAAAAGATAGTCAAGTTTTTATACTCTTTGAGCCTCTGGTTAGCATCTGTAAAATGGAAATAATAACTCAAAGAGGCTGCGCAAAGATTAACAGAAATAATACATATAAAAAAGAAGGCAAGATAAAAGCACTTTTATTCTTATTTTTACCATTATTAAGTCTTTTCCTCCCTGAAGATTTCATAGTTTGAGACCATGCCACTCCTCTGTATCTTCCAAAGCATCTCATCCAATATTTCTGACACAACTCAGTGTCACAGAAGTTAGACAACATGTATTATTATACCATATGACCTTGAGCAAGTCACTTGACCTCTCTGAGTTTCCTTATGTGTTAAATAAGGGTTATATTATAATATCTTCCCTACTTATCTCATTGTTAGTGCCAATAAAAAGATGAGGCTGGGTGCAGTGGCTCACACCTGTAATCCCAGCACTTTGGGAGGCCAAGGTGGGGCGGATCACAAGGTCAGGAGATCGAGGCCACCCTGGCTAACACGGTGAAACTCTGTCTCTACTAAAAATACAAAAAATTAGCCGGGCATGGTGGCGGGCACCTGTAGTCCCAGCTACTCAGGAGGCTGAGGCAGAATGGCATGAACCCGGGAGGCAGAGCTTGCAGTGAGCCGAGATTGTGTCATTGCACTCTAGCCTGGGTGACAGAGCGAGACTCTGTCTCAAAAAAAAAAAAAAAAGTATTGGGGGAACCCACCCCCAGTATTTCAACGTAGGTTCTTTCTATTTTCCATAAGTGTCAGCTGGCTGAGAAATAAAGAGAGACAGTATAAAGAGAGGAATTTTACATCTGGGCCGCCGGGAGTGACATCACGTATCGGTAGGACTTTGATGCCTGCCTGAGTCTCAGGCCAGCAAGTTTTTATTAAGGGTTTCAAAAGGGGAGGGGGTGTAAGAACAGGGAGTAGGTACAAAGATCACATGCTTCAAAGGTCAAAAAGCAGAACTACTAATAAGGGTCTAACAACGATCACAAGGCAAAGGGCAAAAGCAGAACCACTGATAAGGGTCTATGTTCAGCAGTGCACATATTGTCTTGATAAACATCTTAAACAACAGAAAGCAGGGTTCGAGAGCAGAGAACCGGTCTAACCACAGATTTACCAGGGCGGAGTTTTTCCCCACCCTAGTAAGCCTGAGGGTTCTGCAGGAGACCAGGGAGTATCTCAGTCCTTATCTCAACTGCACAAGACAGACATTCCCAGAGTGGCCGTTCATAGACCTCCCCCTAGGAACGCATTCTTTTCCCAGGGTATTAATATTAATATTCCTTGCTAGGAAAAGAATTTAGCGATATCTTTCCTACTTGCACGTCTGTTTATAGGCTCTCTGCAAGAAGAAAAATATGGCTCTTTTTGCCAGACCCCGCAGGCAGTCAGACCTTATGGTTGTCTTCCCTCATTCCATAAAAATTGCTGTTATTCTGTTCTTTTTCAAGGTGCACTGATTTCATATTGTTCAAACACATATGTTTTACAATCAATTTGTACAGTTAACACACTTATCACAGTGGTCCTGAGGTGACGTACATCCTCAGCTTACAAAGATAACAGGATTAAGAGATTAAAGACAGGCATAAGAAATTATAAAAGTATTATTTGGGAACTGATAAATGTCCATATTAATATGAAATCTTCACAATTTATGTTCCTCTGCTTTGGCTCCAGCCAGTCCCTCCATCTGGGGTCCCTGACTTCCCACAACAAAAAAGATGATGATGCACTAGATCTTTTGAACTTGTAAAGCACCTACAACTTTTAAAATGTGACTGTGAGCTTTAGTTATTATCAAATATACTCAATATATACATATTGACTTGGAGTACCCTGATTCAGCCTCTTTTCAAATTTTGCTTAGTCCATTTTACCCCACAAGTTTTCCCATGAGGCTCAAAGAAAAGCTCCCTCCCTAAGCTACACTCATACCAACTCTGACCTGTCACACCAAACACTGAACTGAGATGCTAGACTCCTTTTCTCTTATGGATACCATTGTTCATACAACTGATCATGTTCTCCTCTGTACTTTGGCTATGAGGAGACCAGATGCAAATGTGTAGACCACCTCTAGCCACTATACAAGAAATTGTGTATTCTCATACTAACTATGCTCCTGGCTCCTAAGCCTTCTATTTTCTCTTTGACCTTGTCCTGCTACATGAATCTCTGCAAGCCCCCCCAAATTCCTTCTGAAATGAGAAAGGACAAAAATCTGCAATGAAAGCTCCATCTATTCACTGAAGACAATGCCCTATTTTCTATTGCAGGGTGCTATTATTCTATAGCAACTGTGACATCTATGTGGTCATTCATCAGCTCAATATCAATAGGAATGGGTGTGGTAGACTGTTCACAAAAATTGACACAACAGAGTGCTTTTCTGTATGAATTCTCCTTTGCAATGTATCTTTGCAACTGCTCCCATCAAAAGATGAAAGCTATTTCCCAACTTGTTTAATCAGGGTGGGTTTTGTGGCTTGTTTCAGCAAATAGAATGCAGCAAAAGTAATGTTAAGACAGTTTTGATACTCAAGAGAACTTGCACAGTTCTCCTCTCTCTCTTGAAATCCTGTCCAAACGTCAAGTAAACAAGCCCGGGTTATCCTGCTTGATGATGAAAGACATATGACCTAGCTGCCCCCATTTCTCCAGCCAATGGCCCACTAGTCCCCAAAAGAAAGCCACCCAGGTGATTGGTAGTAGATGTAAGACTGAGGCAATCCAAGACCAGAAGAATTACCCGAGTCCAGCCTGAGCTGCTGATCCATAGAATCATAATCTAAATCTATGTTTATTGCTTAAGCCATTAAATTTGGAAAGGTTTATAAGCAGAAAAAGTTAACTGATACAGTGATTGAGCTCTTTCACAAGGCATTATTCAGCCAAAGGAAAATAATCATTTAATGGTCATGAATACTACAGAGATATGAGATATAATCAGAATCCCTTTAAGACCATCCTCTTGGAAGGCACAACTCCATTGCACGTAAGAAAATGGCGTTTGTTTGAAAGAGAAAAGGAGCAAACATCCTCACCAACCAATATTCTTGCAGTGCTAGCTGACTGCAAGCTACTAACCGCAATACTCCACATCCTCTAGGGTCCCATTCCCCAGACGCTTCCACACTCTGTGTAACTGCAGAAGAGCCTTGCCTTCACTATTCTCAAAGCTTGGATTTCAAACATTCCAGATACCAGGCAGAAACCTACTTCTAGAGGATGGTTTCTAAGACCAGAAACTCCCAAGCTGCCTGCATTTAACGAGACCTAGAGAGGCGGTAAGGAGAAAGAAACAGAGCCAAAGTATAGCATAGTGCTAGGAGAGCAACCCTTGGTTCAGACAGACCTGAATTCCCACTCCACCCCTCATAAGTTTACCTATTGGACTTGGAGCTAGAAAACCTGCGTTCATTTCCAGAGTTCCTCCTTATTCACTTAGCCTCATTTTCATCATTTGCAAAGTGAAGAGCTTTGTTTTTTGTAGCCTTGAAAGTTAATTTTGAGATTAGAAATTTATTAATGTTCATTCTAAAAACTATAATTTTTTGAGCAAATTATTCAACCTATCTGACCTTCAGTAACCTCACCTTTAAAACAGGTTTAGTAAAACCTACCCCACAGTATTGATCTGTACATAAATTACCAAACACACTGCTGACATATAAATACTCAATAAACAGAAAGCAAGTTGGAAAAATGTTTGACTTTACTGTTCAGACCATGATTTTTCTCCTAGGATCCTATTGACAGCTTATTATTAAGAATTTTAATTTTTCTACTACATTCTCTATGAGTCCTTTTTATTAGGAGTACCTAAAAGTCAAGACTCTTATCTTCTTTTATTATATGTAAGCAAGAGAAGTTTAAAAACCAGAGAATGTTTTAAAAACTAGAACGTACCTTAGCCGAACCTGTAGTCTCAAAATTACTAATTTTCAAGACCGCAAAGAACACAGCTTCTATTTTGAAATAATGAAAATGAGATCCAGTGAATAAGTAAAATCTCCAGAAGTAAACCCAGGTTTTCTAATTCCAAGTCCACTTCTCTTTCCACAATTTAGAACAGTACCATCTTCACCCCAAGAACCTTAATAAATATTTGGCCATGGTGATAACAACAACAACAAAAATATTCTACAGGAAATGTTCCCAAGTCATTTCTCATCCATCCTTTTGGCTAGAAATCCAGATTAGCTTTTGTCACTGCCATATCATAGGCAGGCTTCACTCAAGACCCACTTATTGTCTGCAAATGTTGCTATAATTAAATCCAAGTGGCCGCTGTGAGTTATCATCACGTACCCTCTTCAGCCATTAGTCAGATTTCCAGGGCTGCAGTTCTTTATAAAGAGGTCACTCACTCTTCTCTTTCCCCTTGGCTATCCCAGCAGGTTTTTTCTTTCCATTTCTTGGGCAAGAAACTTTTAAGCCAAACTCATTTTCAGGCAATCGGCCAACCTTCCCATTTATCCCAGTGACCTTACAGCAGCCAGAATGTGTCTTGCCAGCATTGCTGATGAGCGTTGGGGAAAGTGAGAGGAAGAGCTCTAAAGCAGAGTCTCTGAGAGCAGTGAGGACCGGGGGCTGTTTCTAATAGAGTGCAGGACTGCTGTCATCATCATCACCATCAACATGAGAGTCAGAAATCCCTCCAGTTTGGAGCACATTACATACTTTTTCCCCCTGGATGTTTACAATAATCCTTCTAGCAAGGGTAAAGAGAAAACTGTAGAAGCTTTGAGCCAGATAGGATTATCAGAATCACCTCATCCAAGCTCTTCACTTTACAAATAAGGAATCTCAGACCCCATGAGAGAAAGTACCCGCCCATGATCATTTAGTGAAAATGGCAAAATGGGTCTCGATTCAAATTTCCCACCCAAATCTCTATTCAGGAAGCATCCCACTCTTTGCTCCTAGGATCCCAGAAGACTAATAAGCAATCGTAATGAAACAGGTCTTGAAGCTCTCCTGAAAGAAACCACTCTGCCACCATTTTTAATCAACACTTGGAGTTGACCTTACCTCTCAGTTCCAGGGCTAAGAATATTGCCCAGACCTGGATAATTAGAACACATCCTCCTTCTGGCCACAGTTAATGGTTTGGGGATAATTAAATGACCTAAATAAGCCCAATGAGAATAACCTCCAGGAATTTTGCTGAAGCTTTTAGAAAAGAATGTATTCTGGGTTCTCTAAAATGTTAAGTTGTAAGAGCTACAAAAGCCTTGAGTTGCCAGAGACCTTCTTTACTACCATTTAGAAAAAGCATTCCTTAGAGTGACTCCAACGTGGTAACATGATTTGAGCACCTGGATTCAACTATGCCTGAAGAACTAGAATTTTCAATTACATGTGTCAATAAATGTTATCTTTTTTAAAGACAGTCTGATTTGTTTTGTCATCATTTATAACCAAATGAATCCTGACTGAAACACCAGCTTTTCTTGATTACTTTCAATCATGAATGAAATGTTAAGACTCCCTTGGTACAACATAGCTTTTACCACAATCACTGACAACATGAGCACCCCTTCTTCTATCCACTTACACACCTATACCCAATGGACCCCCTAAAAGTAATTGTTCCCTGAGTCTTCCATAGAACTAATCACATTAATAAATTATTACCAGACATTGCTTTTTACATTATCTCTGACTATACCATCAAATTCTTTAAAATCCCCACAAGGAAAAATATACGCAATAATGAAACAAGAGGGCTTTTAGGACTCTGATCTACCTAATATAAAATGCCCAATTGTGAGAAAGTAAGTATCCAGTCCATCATCCAATTGTCTTGATACACACCCACCTCCCAGCCAAGGGGTTGTATTAATGATGTACACACACACAGGACAGCCCATTTAAAACACAGCCAGCCAAAAAGTCATGGCAGCGTTTTTTTTTTAATTCACTATAAAGTGCTGTTCTTAAGAAAACAAAATACTATTATTAAAACCATCCAGAAGGATATTGTCAAGCCACCTCGACAGTCACATCTGATTGGCCTTTTCCAAAAGACCTATCATCTAGGGGATGAAAAAGGTTATTGGAGAAGTTAATAAAGAATCTTCAAGAATCATCAAATGTTTACCATATGTTGTGGTGTGGGAGGTGAAATTGCAACCAAACAAAATAATAATAAGTAGATTTGCTGGCACAGATATACAATTGCGTAGTGAAAAGAAAAAGCACTCTGTGCCAGCATTCCACTTTTTAATGAATGCCTTACTAATGGTTACAATTTGTGGACACTGAGAAAGCAGAAGCTTGGCTATCAGAGCCATTCAGGCAAGGAAGCCATTCTTTCCAATGTAAACATGCTTGTTTCTCCGTACACAGTGAGGTATCAAATGCCAATAAACCCAATAACTATTTTTCAAGTGTTGCATCAGAGCCTCAGAACCAAAACTATGATTGGTAGACAGATAGATGGATAGATACATAGATATAGAGATGATTAGATGGATGAATAGAGATGATAGGTAGATAGATAGATAGATAGATAGATAGATAGATAGATAGATACTGCTTCTTAATTAATTCCAGAATGAAATAATGTTCACACTTCCTCCATTGGCTCCAGGAAAAAAAATGGGCATGTGATGTGTGCTAGAAAAAAGAATATATCCCTCAATCGAAACTAACAGCACCCTTAGCTTCAGAATGTATCCCATGCAAACAAAGCAAAAGAGGTTTAATATCAGAACACAGACCACGTTAGAAGAAACCCAAGGAGTCTTTGAGTAGAGGATCCACACCTAGGTTTTAGGCTAACTACTCTGTCCGATTTCTGTCATAGAACTTCCATTTATTCTTTAAATAAATAGTTATTAAATTCTTACTGTGTGCCAAGAGTGGGCTAAGTGAATACACAATGGTGAACATAACAGGTATGGCCCCAGTTGTCCTCGTGGTGCTTACAGTCTAAAGGAGAAAATAGATAGTAATAAGTAAATAAACATGAATGTTGTTCCAGTTGTCTATTGCCACATAACAAACTACTCAAAAATGTAATGGCTTAAGGCATCCACCATTTTATTACATCTCACAATTTTGAGGGTGAGGAATTCAGGCAGAGTTTAGCTAGGCAGTTCTGTTCCACATGATGTGGATGAAGGTCAGTATTTAACTAGCAGATATGCTGTAGTCTCGAGGGTCCAAAGTAGTTCACCAGCACATCATATGCCTCAGCAGGGATGGCTGGAAAACAGGGCCCAGCTAGGACAGTTGACCAGAAAGCCTATACAGGAACTCTTCAGTGTGGCAGTGTCAGAGTGATCAGACTTCTTGCTTAGAAGCTCCAGGCTCCAGGAAGTCTTCCAAGAGATGGGAAGCAGAAGCTTCCAGTTTATTAACGTCTGAGCCTGGATACTCCCACATAATAATTTCTGCCATGTTCTATTGGTCTAGCAGCCATAGAAGCCTTCCCAGACTCAAAGGAGAGTACACAGACCCCACTTCTTCCTGACGGAAGAAGAATTTGCAGCCATATTTAATCTACCACAAATATATAATTCACAATTGTGATAAACACTGTGAAGTATGAAAACAGGGTGCCAGGAGATAGACTGGGGGACAGGCAGGGAAGTGAATCTAATTTACACTGGCAGGGCAGGCAGTCATGGGCTCTCTCTAGCCCTGAAAGACAAGTAGTCATAAGCTGTTCAGCCCACCTCCATCATCACACCATGAGCATATCCCATCTTCAATGTCATCTTTTTTCAAAAAAAAAAAAAGGGAATTGCAACAAGGTGTTTTCTGTTTTTCTAACACCCTGGAAGACAGGCACATGCTTCAAAGCTACTGAACTCCTTCAATTCTCTGAGGAATGAAATAAAATATATGCCTGAGAATTTATTTAATGACATGGAACAGCAAATTCCACTCTAAGATCAAATACAATATCTGTAATAGCACAATAAAATAATAGGCAATCAAGCAGAAAACTTTGTTACTAAATATGAATTATTTGCAAAGAACAATTTGTCATCTTAATGTACGAAGCATTAGATGCCTCAAAATCGCCATAATTTGCATTCACTTTCTGTTATGAAAATAAATGTTTTAACTTAAAATTCCCAGGTATATTTATTTATCATGAAAATTATATAGCTGGTGAATGTGAGTGTGTATCTCTATGTAAATATCTAATCACATGTGTAATGCAATCCATCTGTAACACCCAGCTTTTATTCAAACAGTGAGTGTCTACTTTGTGCCATTCTACCATCTTAATATAAGAATTCTACAGGTAGAATTCCTTATGCAATAGGGAACTGTCCTATTCTCTTCTTCTCTTCTTTCCTACACTGCCACTGGCCAGGTTCAAGACTGTTTCAATCTCTCCTGGACTGTTAGAACAACCTCCCTCTACTCTGTTCCACAGTCTGAAATTCAAAGCTCTTTACAAGCAGGTTATAATCCATCTCTCCAGCCTCTTTTCCTACTTCCCCAGACACTCTGCAGTCCAGCGGTTCCACAGCTTTGCCTGTTGTAGTCCCTCCACTCTCCCCCTTTTGTTGCTGGCTTATCCTCTAGCCCCATTTCAAAATTCATCTCCTCTGCAGAACCTTCGCTCCCCTATTCCCACAGGCTCCTGTCCTCAGTCCTGTCATAGCCTGAACCACAGCGTATTAAATTGTCCACTTACTTGTCGATCCCCGACCTCCACCCTCAGGCTGACTGCAAGAGCAGGGGCTGTGTCGTTTTCACCTTTTTATCTCCAGTGACCAGTGTCGGCACTCCAAAAACATGGTTGAATATCTCCTCCTTCTGGCTCTCAGCTACCTTCTGGAAGGTTGATTTGCTGGCTTGAGGAAATTTTAGCTTTCTTAAAATATCCAAAAGCCATGATGTCAACAGAGATATAAATAAAAATATTTTTTTTAAAGTTTACTTGAACATTATTGGGTTTTTTTTCCTATTAAGCAAAGGATTCTTCTCTGTACTCATTTGTTTGTCTCTATCTTGACCTCTGATGCAATTTGCCTAATTTTATTTAAAAATAATAATAAAGTTGCAAAGCTCAGTTGTTGTGAATTTGGGAATTTGTCTGCCAAATATCATCCCAGCACACTCCAACCACCACATTGGCTTATCAAACAGTTTCCTGAGAATGGCTCCTTCTGAAGTGTTCAGGATCCCCTGTGATACCAGAAACTGTCCAATGAGACAAGAAAGGAGTAGGGATTGCAATGGGAACACTCCAGAACCTTACCACTTCCTAACACTAGGACCTCAAGCAAGTTACTTAACCTCTCTATATACACTTCAGCTTTCCCACCTGGAAAATAGGGATAGCATGAAAATTCTAACTTCCTCACAGAGTTCAGTGATGCAGTGCACATACAGCATCTAGCACAGCAAAGAACACCCACCTTTCTCTCCTTCTCCATCCCCAGACAATCCTTGTAGAAGAAAGCAGATTCCTACAGGCAGGGGACACAGGTGGCTGACTGGGCCCTGCCACACAGTCCTAATCCAGCCCATACTCAGGAACTTGTCTTCTCAGCCTCTAGTCACCTTTTTCAGACCAGGATCCCCTCCCGGGATGATGAAAATTAGAAGCTGACAGCACTATGCATTATTAAGTACTGGTCTCTCCTCAGTGCTTGTCCGACCTGGCTGAGGGTTGCAAGAGGCAAATGGGTTTCTCCCCATCATTACAAGTGGCTGCCAGCAGTAAACCCATCTGCCTCCCTGGGCAGCACTGTCAGAGGGTCAGCACCGAGACATCAGCACCTAGCGCATTCCTTTAACATCACCCAAAAGTCTCCAAACAGAAAAGAAACACTGGGCCCACCTAAATAAATTGCAGACTGCATTCCATATAAGGACTTAGTTAAAACCAAGCTACTTCAATTGAGGTTTCTCTGGGAAGACAGTGGTAGGGAAATTGGGAATAATCAGAAGTCAGGGCTGGGAAGGAATTTAGAGAATCTCTGCTTTCCACCCCTCATTTAGCAGAAGAGAAATAATGAAGACCAGAGAAGAATAATGACTTGCTCCATGTTACACAGCAAATTAATGGTTGAAACGGGAGAGGAGACCAGAGGGCTTAAAGCCAACTCTAATATTTTTGCCAGTAAGACACTAAAAAAGCAAATGGTCATTGAATAGACTTTATGACTTGGGATGGTGAGGGGCTTAACGAGCAGAAAAACCACCCAAATATGGACTAGTTGATTCATCAAATCATTATTGAATGCCCTCCATGTGTTGGGCACTGAGGCATGGATTGACAGAGTTCCTGCTCTCATGTGGTTTACAGTCAGAGCAGGGTAAGGGGCAAGGAGGGATAACACACAAGTAAGCAAACAACCCAAAAAATCACAGTTTTTCACCAGTGCCTCGAAGAAAGAGAACAAGGTGTTGTAATAACAAACAACACAGCGGAGAAGTTTGCTTTAAATAAGGTGGTCCAGGAAGGCCTCACTGAGGAACTGGCCTTCAAACTGAGACCATAGGGGCAAGATCCAGCCATGTGAGGAGCCAGGGGAAGAATAGACTAAGGTGAGGGGGAAAAAAAGCAAGAAGCAGGAGAGAGTCTGCTCTTCTCTAGAAATAATCAGATATCAGCAAGGATGGGAGCTTGGGAGCAGAGCGGAGACTGTCAGAGGTGCGAAGAGACAGGAGGGCCGCGGCAGATCCTGCAAGGCCTTGTGGGCCAAGATGAGACATTCATTATTTTGTTCTAGGTACAGCAGAAAGTCAGGAGAGTTCCAAGCAGGAGAGAGATGCATTTTTCTTTTATTTCTTGTAAGATCATTCTGGCTTCTCTGTGATGATAATGAGAGGTGAGCAAGCAAGGAATCAGAGAGCATAGGCCGGAACCATGGCAGGGGTCAGGCTAGAGAGAGATCATGGTTCCTTGGACTCCAGTGATGATGCCAGTGATGACAGATGGAAATACACAGATTCATGATCAATGTAGGAACAGAACTGAGAGAATTTGTCAATGGATTAGGTTTAACTGAAAGGAAGAATCTGATATTTTACCTTGGTTTGTCACTTAAGGGCTGGCCATGTTGAAATTTAGAGAAACTCTAACGATCTAAAATGATTCTGAGGTGATAGGTGGCAAACTCTGGTTTCCTCCAGGTAAAGTGAAGTCTAGGCAAGTTGGTAGATCTCTTTATGCCCTGGTTTTCTTAATTGTTAAGGTGGGATAATAACACCTATATTGTCCAGTGATCAAATGGATTTAACGAATATAATGCCTGGCACAGAGTGGCCCTTGATAAATAGTTTCACTTTTCCTAACATAACAAATCTCATTTGGGATTACATATGATGTGCTGAAGATTTTTTTTTTACTTAGTCCACTTTAAAGCATAAAGCTTTCCAATATTCTAAATAAGTATTTTCTAATACAAACTAGTACAGTACCTCATTATTTTATTATTAGGAAAAAACCATACAGACTTTTCCCTAATAGATCTCTAAGTCTATTTTCATTTTTTATAGCTGTTTCCAGCTCTCAAAGTTAATCTCAGTTCGTTTTATTGTGATTTAGTCTGGAGAAAGTCTTAAAATTCTTAAAGTTATCAACTCATGAATATGCCAACATGGTTAAAAGAACTAAAAGGCAATTGTGGATCTGTCAACCACCCATTATAAGTTTCAGTTCTGGGTCCTCAAACAATATTGTCAAAGGTGTTCTCTCAACAGAAAGAAAAATAATGTCTCATTTGTGAATTCCTAGGGAGCAACCACTTAGGAAGAACAGTAGATCTCAAAAGGGTAGACACTAACAACTTGTATCCACTCAACCCATTAAGAAATTCAGTATCTTTTTCAAGCCAAACTCTGGAATTACAGCAAGCAGCTCTAGAGCTTCAGTGAGACTCTAAGATAATAGGGAAGAGTCTGGTCTCTCACTCTGTTACAAATGCTTCCAATGTTGGGACACAGAGAATGAGGATTTAAAGCAGAATAATCAGTATTAGAAGATCACCTGAGATTTTCACCAAACATATATAAACACATATATGGAAAATGTATATAAAATTTTCTATAAAATCTTTGCCCTATGGGTTTGTTGTTCACTGGAGGAGCCAACTTTATATAATCTCTGTAATTTCTGACCTAACATTCTCATTGTAGAATCATGCTTTATGCCTTAGGGAGAAAAAATTTTTTTTCTTCAAGGCAAGTAATTTGGAGCCTGCAAGAAGAGTTTGATTCAGCTTAGCTTGGATATTAGTTTCTTATTCAATTTTCCCAAATAGAAGTAGAGACTGTATATACAACTTCTTGGAACTATGAAATGGTATACGGGGTACACCCACAAAACTACACATACACATTTGCTATATTTCTGAGCATGTCTTTGAAAAAGATGAACAATATTCAACTACTGATAACCAAAGAATTTGCTATTTTAAGAGGAGGTGGCAGTATAATATGTTTCTAAGGCTAAATATCTCCTCTCACAGTGACGGTCATTTAAATTCTTGTCTAGCAAAGGGATTTTTATGGAAGGTTAATGCCTCCTATAACATTTATCCTGGATGGTGGAGCTTTTCGCAAATTTTCTGGGCTTTATTCCTGCAGTGTTATAGAACCTTAGCTTTTCTCTAATATAATAGCTTGCCAGTAAAGAGCCAGTGCATATAAAGACAGTCGTTATTTCTCAGTTCAAGCCCTGATTTAATGAAATTCCAAATCTCTAGTGAAAGAGGGCTTGAGGTTAAGCCATGAAGAAAGGAGGGTAGGCCCAAGGCAACCTGTCATGGCTCTACCTGGGACTGGGCTACCAAAGGTTACATAGGACACAGAGCCCTGGCCAGTGGAGGCTGCAAGGAAGAGCATAAGGCCAGGGGACAAGAGTGAAGAGTGACATCATAGCTTTCTTGAAGGGGTCTTCAGCAGGAGGAAGCCTCCCCATTTGCATTTGAACTAATTTGACTTTCCATCATTTTCCTAATTCCCTTTCACTATTTTGACATTTGCTTAAAAAAGCCTGGCATTCCAATAAAACATTTTCTTCCCAGTTACTGATCTATCTTTCCTTCCTTATCCAGCAGTTGGTCAACACCACTGATAATAACTGTGGCAGGATGTATTTTCCTCACATTGGGACCAGCAATATTTCTGGTCCCAAATGCCCTTCTGGAACCTTGCCACTTCCTATCAAGAGGCAAAGTCTATCTCACCTCCCACTGACACTAGATGGAGCTTTGTGACCACCCTGCTGAATATAACATATGAGTACATGGTACATGACTTCTGGGGCAAGGCAATGGTAAGCAATGTGACTCTATCTGATTCTAGCCTTTAGAACCCAGCCACCACACTGTGAGAAAGTCAAAGCTTTCTTCCTGGAGAGATGACACAGGGAGGTTACACGGAGAACAGCCAGCCTCAACCACCATCAACCACCAGATACCCGAGTGAATGAGTCTTCAAATCATTCCAGCCTTCAGCCTTTGAGTCTTCCAACTGAGGCCTCACATGACATAGAACAGAGATAAGCTAACGTCACTCTGCCCTGTCTGAATTCCTAACCCATGGAGTCAGGAGCATAATAAGGGGTTGTTTTATGGCATTTTGAAGTAATTTGTTTCATTGCAATAGCAGCTAGAACAATGATACACTATAATATATCCTTTGTAAGAAATTATAAATGTTTGCTGCGAAGACTTCTTGCTCTCTAATGAAGTCTCATCATGTACACTCCAAGTGATCCCTTGAGTCAATCCTTAACCACCTAATAGTCAAAGGCAGCAATAAATCAATGAAAAGGGTTTTTGGATTACCCCCCCCCCTAGACCTGGGTCCTTTCATTTTTGGCCTTGCCTAAGTTATCTAACCTCTCTGAGTTTCACTATTTCATCTTTGAAAAAAGGATAATAATTCCTACATCAAGAAATCAGGCATGTGAAGCTCTTGTTTTCGGTAGGACCTTGTTGACCCTATTAACATTATTGAGAATTCTTCCCAGTGCTGCTTCCTCTAGGAGGTCTCTGCCAGTATGGAAGTTTTTGCTCTCTGCGCCTCCATATCATTCCTTTATACTCCATCTAACATCACACTTCCTTGAGCATGTCATTATTACTTATGTATCAGAACATTTTAGCTAGGCCATTGCCTAACGCTCAGACACTGCTGGCTATTGCTAAGAATCATCCATTCCCCATCATATCCTTGTACAGCATTTGGGTTACAGATTCCCACATATCACTTTGTATCCACAAATTCACATAGGAGCAAAGGAGCCTCATGGGAGAAATGAAGTTAATTAAGACTCTGACTCTCTTGCCCTCTATATGTTTATATTCAAAGATTAAAAAACATTTTTCTCTAATACATCAGGGTAGGAGCAATTAAAATAGAAAGAGAGACACAAGAGACCACTGAAAGGGAATTCACTGAATGGGAAATATTGTCTTGATTGGTAAAATAAACACAGTAAATAATAGGTTAATGGGACAAATTCTAGACCCAGTATGTAGTAAACCAAGATCCTTACAGACCCAGCTTAGCTGGAGGCAGAAGTAGGTTTTCAGGGAAAATAGTTACAAGACCTACACTCCTGGAGAGTTGTATCACTTAGAGCCCAGGTAGTTTTCCTCTAGAACTGTGTTGTCTCATATAGTAGCCACTAGCCACGTGTGCCTACTGAATACTTAAAAGGTGGCTAGTCCAACTTCAAATGTGCTGCAGAGGTAAAATATACACCAGATTTCAAAAACTCCAAACAAAATCATGTCAATTATTTCATTAATAATTGTAAATAGATTTCATGTTGAAATAATATTTTAGGTATATTGGGTTAAATAACACATTATAGAAATTAATTTCATCTATATGTATATATACTTTTTTAGTGTATCTACTAGAAAATTCAAAGCTATATATGTGATTCACACTATATTTCTATTGAATGATGCCATTCTAGAATATCCCTAAGTAAAGAAGCAGCAGAAAACCAGGTGGCCCTGAGTAAATGTGTAGATATGTTACCTGTAATGGGATAACAGGCAAGTCCTGAGATCCTCGGGGCCCAGAGAAAGCTTCATCAGATACTCCTCTGGAGAAATAATAAAGTGCAAGCCCTGCTCTCATCAATAGCTGCCTTCCTCCCTGGCCATGGGGTGCTGGAGGCATCCAGAAGAGCAGACAGGACTGCCAGGAAATCCTTGGTTGAGGAACTTCACCTCAAGGAAGTCATTTTGGTCTCTGCTCTCCCTTTTAGGCAGGGGATAAGTGAGCATCAAGGAGAAGCAATGATTCATCACCCTTGTGGCTAGCACAAATATTGAGAACAGGTAAACTTCAGAAAAGGCAAGAACTTCAACTAGTAGACTGAACTAGGTCCCAAACCATGGTAACTTTTAAAATTCACACAGTTTTATTTATAGTCTTAAATTAGTAAAGCCTCCTAATTTTGGTTACATTTATTTTTTCCCTTCTATTTACATATTCATCTCAAATAAGAAGAACTGTTGAATGGTTCTGCTTGACATTTGAAATATAGGTTGAATCATCACCAAACCCTTAAGACCTAGGTATTATTATCCATGTCTTACAGATAACAAAATTGAAGCTTAGAGATGTTAAGTCTTGCTCAAATTCAAGTAAATGACAGAACCTGAATTCAAATCCAGATCTGTCTCACTCTAAATTTTAGTCTTTAATTTTTAAGAACTAGAGAATTCTAACCAGCAAAACAAATGTGTGTTATAATGTATTTATATTGGTTAAATATGTTCTTAAGCTTATGTATATGAATTCCTCTTCAAAGATTATATGATGCAAAATAGTTAGATGATACCACAGATAGAAAGCTGTAAGTTTCCACTCTAAGCACTGAACTCTCTGACCCTCAGTTTTCTCTTCCATAATATACTTACATATTGAAAACATGCAACAACATGTTAATTGAAAACAACATGAAAATGATAGAAATTCAGGTTTCCATCAGGAAAATATGAAAACTGGGTTCTGAACCTACCCAGTCTTGCCTCCTACTAGCTTCTATAACCCTTGAATATAGGGTCTCATCAAGCTAAAATAGTCTTTCAGTTATTCAAAAATCATGTAGTAGGTATAGTTTTGTCTTAGATAGTTTAGTCTTTATTGTGAAGGCAACAGAGCCCAGTTTTAAACCAGGCATGAGACAATCAGATTTGCATTGCAGAAGGATCCCTGTGGGGTACTCACACACATTGGTGGGAGGGTAAATTGATACAATCCTTTTGGAAAGCAATTTGGCGAAGTGTACTAAGAGCTCTAAAAATGTTTAACACAGTAATATCACTTTTGTGACTACTTTAAGGAAATAATCCTAAAACCAGAAAAAGCTTTGTGACAAAGCATCCATTGTAGCATTACTCATAATGGCAGAAAAAAATGGCAATTTTCTCACTACCCAACATAAGGGAATGGTCAGGCAACCTTCAGTACATCCACTAGGTAACATATTACTTAGCCATCTAAATTATATTTACAACAAGTTACCAATAACATCAAAAAATGATGACCTACTAATGTTAAGATTAGTAATACATTTGTAGAAGATTATAAGAATGGCCACAAATTTTTTTGCACCCTACACCCTTGCCCTTGCAATTGATGTGTGATATCCTTTAAGAAGTGGAATCTATTTCTCAATTCTTTGAGGATAGATTGACCCTGTGACTTGCTTTGGCCAGTAAAATATTAGTAAATGAGATGCAAGCAGAGACTTGAAAAGTATTTGTGCACTGATACTTGCCCTCTCTCTATATTTGGAATCTTTCCATCACAGCATGAAGAAGTCCAAAGATAGTCTGTGGATGGTGAGAGATACAAGGACTTAGTTCTTCCTGTCACCCCTGACATCAGCTAGCAATCCCAGAAGGAGAGCCATCTAGCTAAGTGGCAGTGAAACACAGATGCACACAGATGAATGAGTGAGGTCAGTCAAGACTAACAAAAGAACCACACAGCTGAGCCTAGCCCAAATTGCTGCTCCAGAGAATTATGAACTAAATCCATAGTTGTTATTTTAAGCCACTAAATTTTGAGGCCAACTGTTACACATCAAAAGCTAACTGATAAAAGTTTGATAATTTCTGAAGGTAAATGTTGGGTGTGTGGAGGAGGGGGTCATTATAATAATGTCTTTCTTTTTGTGTATGTTTAAAACTTTCCATAGGCTGTGTGCGGTGGCTCACACCTGTAATCCCTGCACTTTGGGAGGCCGAGGTGGGTGGATCGCCTGAGGTCAGGAGTTCAAGACCAGCCTGGCCAACATAGTAAAACCCTGTCTCTACTGAAAATACAAAAAATTAGCTGGGCTTGATGGTTGGTTTCTGTAATCCCAGCTAATCAGGAGGTTGAGGCAGGAGAATCACTTGAACCCGGGAGGCAGAGGTTGCAGTGAGCCGATATCATGCCATTGCACTCCAGCCTGGGCAACAAGAGCAAAACTCTGTCTTAAAAAAAAAAAAAAAAAAAAAAAAAACTTTCCATAATAAAAAAATTTTAAAAATACGTGCATTTGAACTAAAGAAAAAATAAATGTCAACTAAAACATTTCAATATAAAAATACACAGGCGTATAGCTTGATCACAACTACTAAAAAGAAATTTTCCATATAAAAACACTGAAAGAAAAATTTACCATTGGTTGTTTCTGGGTGCTGAGACTATGAATTTTTAAAACTTACATGTATCTTCCAAAGTATCTATAATAAACCTTATTGCTTTATCCTAAAAATAAATTTTTATAATTTTATTAACTTTTATCTCACATACACCGTTTCAATATAATTTTTTTCTATAGATTATGTAGAGAATGAATTTGGAGGGGGAGAAATTAATGCAGAGAGACAAATCCAGAGGAAATAAAAATAGCCTAGAGGGATACTGATGAAGGTCCAAAATCAAGGCAACAACAGTAGAAAAGCAAAAGAGAGGACAGACCGGAGAGCAGGGAGACAGAGAAAGAGGATCCTCAGGCTTCAATGCCGGACATTGCCTTGCAATATGCTGTGGTTTGCATATGGCTTGTTTGTCCCCAACAAAGTTCATTTTAAAATTTGATCCCAACATGGCAGTGTTGGGAGGTGGGGCCTCGTGGGAAGTGTTTGGGTCTAGGGAGTGGATCCCTCATGAATGGCTTGATGCTGTTCTCAGGGCAGTGAGTTCTTGCTCTGGTGAGACTGGATTGGCTCTTAGGGGAATGAATTAGTTCCCATGAGAGTGGGCTGTTATAAAACCAGAACAACCCTTGGGTTTGATCCCCCTGTGCACATGCCTTCTCCCCTTTTGACCTTTTCTGCCATGTTTCAACACAACACAAAAGCCCCCACCAGGAGCTGAGCAGATGTCAGCATGATGCTTCTTGAACGGCCTGCAGAACCATGAGCCAAATAAACCTCTTTCCTTTATAAACTACTCAGCCTCAGATATTTCTTTATAGCAACACTAAATGCACTAAGACACAGTGAAAGGATATATAACTGGGACCATGAATGAGTTTCATGGGGACCTACATACCCAACCTAAAAATGCACTCAAATTTGGGTTCAAACATGTAGATGCATCTCTCTAGATAGATAATCCCCAAGTTTTTTCAGATTCTTAAATAATGAATGTGATCCCAATAGCTGAAGGCCTGTTAAGACTTGTCTCCCTATAGACAGGGAAAAATTCAGTTTGGCCTTTCATCTCTATTCAGATCTGACCAGCCATAGGACATTGAAGAGGGCATTGAAATGATGAGACCTAAGTCTGGGACTTTGGTCCCTGAAGCATGACCTAAGAACATGACGGTCCAGGTGATACCAACCCTTCTGAGCCATCACTCATCACATGTACTGTCCCAGTGTCACTCAGAAGCTGGTTCCTCCTAGATTCTACCCTAAAGAAAGCCAAAACCCTGTCAAACAGCACTTCAGGGTATCAGAGACATGGCTGTAACTGGAACCCTGACCTCCATTAAGCAAATGAAAAACCAGTTTTCTAACATCTTAGGCTCAAATGGTCCCTGTTCCCCTCTCTAAATGCCTTTCTTGCCATGTTTCTCCTTGTTCTTCTTTGTTCTGGCCTATTTTAAGTTCCCAAAAATCTGTGCTTCTGCCCTCTATAGAAGTTTTGCTATGTTGTTCCACCTCCCTAAGACTCTATTCCACTCTCCCTTCAACTCTCCCTTCAACTAATGAACTTATCCTTCAGAGCTTAACCTCAATCACTACTTCCCAGGCTAAGGAAATCCTTCTGATAACAGGAAATCCTTCTCAGAACATTTAGGAAATTGATTTTGTTATGCTTATATGTGATTATTTGATTAGCATCTGCCTCCCTCCTCCAATAATAATTCTAGTAAAAGCCAATGTTATTTAAATGTTTACTAAGTGCCAGGCACCATGGAAATCTCTTGACATGTATACATTTGTTAGCACAACAGTCTCATGAGGAAAATGGAGCACAAAAGCAAAACAACGGAACTGTGATTCCCTAGCTAGCGAGAGGCAGTGGTGGGATATAATCCTACACAGTGGTAGGATATAATCCCACACAGTGGTAGGATATAATCCCAGCTACAACTACACTGGCCTGAAGCTCCATGTCTTTGTTTTCACTGTTGGTACTCCCGCACCCAGCACAAGGTCTGATGCTTAATGGGAACTCCAATGGTATTGATTGACTAAATGGACTTGCCTTGCCTTGCCTTGACCTGCTTTGACATGTGGCATCCAGACTTAGACAACTTTAAAAATCACCTTCACCAACCCCAACAGATGAGGAATAGAAGACCCAGAGAAGGAATGTGTTTCCCTCAAGGTAAACACATTTCCATCACACAGAACCAGGACTGGAAGCCAAATCTCTAACACAACCCAGTGTTCTTTCCACTGCATTAAATGAAAATCCAAGTTTCCCACAGTGTAAAAACACTTAAGTATTTTTAAACCAATAAAGGACCATCACTTCCTTTCCCTATTCTAACTTTGCACTGAAATCAGAAAAGAAAAAAGATGGGTGGGTAAGGAAACAAAACTATTTCGTTAGTGATGTGTATTTGGAGAAAATCACAGGGATTAGAAAAAATTGTGACTTATACAAATGGCTCCTTAAAAAATTATTTTTTTCTATTTCTTACTAGTGATGAACACTGTTTAACTCAGAATAGCTTTGCTTTAGCAAGTCCGTGTCTTTAACTTACAATCCTTTCAATGCAATTCTCTGTAATCAATTTCTTTTGTTAGCTCAATGGCAGTTTCACTTGTGCTGATCTTTATTTATGCAGAGCTGCACCACAGTGGGGGTCTCCATGGGCCTGCAATGATCGAGCTTGACCATCAGAAAGACCCTCCTCATGGCTGGGGAGACACTATGCATGTAACTCCTAACAGACATTGTTCTCCAGGGACTGGGAAGGAAACAGCATGTTTCTAACACAAGTTCATCAGTACTCAGAGATTCTTCAGAGCAAAATAATACTCATTTAAAGAATACATTTATCAGCAGCATAGAAGCAGTACCTGACAGCCTGAGTTCAAACCTCAGCAATACCAATTACTAATCCCAGGACCTTGAGCAAGATACTTACCTTTTCTATTCCTTGGTTTCCTCATTGGGAGGTAAAAGTAAACATCTCACTCATATGAAATTCATATGAAAAATGAACAAGATAATATAACTCTGAAGCTAGCAGGTAGGAAATGCTCATTTAAAGCTAGCTGTTTCTACTATCAACAAAAAGAGTCAAACTCTAAAATATTTTGAAGGGATTTATCCTGAGCCAAATATAAGTGACCACAGTCCATGACACAGCCCCAGGACATCCTGAGAACACGTGCCCAAGGTAGTCAAGATAGGGCTTGAATTTATACATCTTAGGGAGACATAAGACATCAATCAATACATGTAAGATGTTCATTGCTTCGGTCTGGAAATGCAGGACGCTGGAAGCAGGGGCTTCCAGGTCACAGGCAGATTCAAAGATTTTCTGATTAGCAATTGGTTGAAAAAGTTAAATTATTATCTAACGCCTCAGAATTAATAGAAAGCAATGTCTGAGTTAAAAAAAGCGTTTGTGGAGACCAGAGTTCCCATTATGCAGAGGAAGTCTCCAGGTAGCAGGCTTCAGAGAGAACAGATTGAAAATGTTTCTTCTCAAAGTTGATTCTCTCCTGGATTAGGAAAAAGGAAAGAAAAGGAAGGGGATTCTCTTCAGAATGGAGATTTTCCCCACAAGAGTCAGCTTTGCAGGAGTATTTCAAGATAGGGCAAATAAAACATATTTGGGGTTAAAATATTTTTATTTCCTTCTTTATCATGTGATGCTATGCCAGAGTCAGACTGGAAAGTAAGCCGCCTTATGTAGGCGTAAATAATACCCTTCTGATGAGACTTTGTGGATTGTAGCGTGTTACTCCCCAGGGCCCTTCAATAAGAATTTGGGCGAGAGAAGAAAAAGGTCAGTTTAGTCCTCACTACTATGATGAACTGCAATTTTACATGAGTCATAGTCTTAAACCCTGCAAGACCTACACAAGGTTCATTACAGACCAATTCAACTAACTTTTACGAAGCTTGGTGCTCTCACAAACGTAACTTCATTTAAGTTTTTCCAAACCTGGTTATAAAGACTTACTTATCTTCACTTTACACCTGAGGACACTAAAGCCCAGAGAGGAACAGTGATTCACCCAAGGGTGTGCAACAAGCCCCAGGTTGCCTGATTCTGAGTCAGAACTCGCTCCATAAGAAATATAACACCAGAGTGTCAACAACATGATCACCTTTCACAAGCCGGGAAGCAAATGCAGAGGGGCTTGGTGACCTGCCAGTGAGCTTCAGAGAATCCAGGTCAGAAGCTGAATTAGATCTGTCTTTGCAACCAAGAGCAGTTCTCCCACAGGACCCTGAAGGACCACCACTAAAGCTTTGTAAGAAAGCTTCCTATTCTTTATTCTGACATTGCCTTTTCTACCAGGGATGACATAGAAGCTCAATCCTGGCTTATTTTAATGCTTTGGATTTTTTTAATGCCTTCTCCCTATAAAGGGCTGTGGAAAAAGTTCATCATGTGCTCTTTGGAAAGGCTCCCTGGGCACCCAAAATAGATGCCTTCATGGTTAGATGTCACCAATAAAGCCCACTGTCTCCTAATAAAAGAAAGCAAAAGTATGAGGTTTCTGTAAAATGTTCAATAAATAAATGAAATGCTTTGAGAAGAGCATTGGTAAACAGAAATGTTTCTAGAGGAACTCATCAAACTGAGCCAAAGGAGAATGTTTTCTTGGAATTAAAAAGAAAGAAAAAGAACTGAGAAACCAGAAGAGGGACAGGAAAGCTGCCTCAAACGCTTGAAGAGCTATCATGTAAAAAAAGGAGCAAGGTGTGTTCCAAGTGTCTCCAAAGGAAAGAAGAGTAATGATCAGCACTACCAATGTTGCAACAGGCTGGGCAGAGGAGTCTAGGGGTTAAGGACATAAAACTGGAGCTTTGTGGGCTTAAATCCCTTTCCTGCAACACAGAAAGCTTCCATTTCCCCATCTGTAAAATGGGAATGACAATAACTACCTACCTCATAAGGCTGCTGTGCACATTAAATAGGATAATGAATCTCAAGGGCTTGCCACTATGCCTGGTGCATAGTAAGTCCTCCATGTCATGTCATCTGTTATCCTTGCTGTTGGGAGAAAGTGAATTCTTTGTCCTTGGCTGTATTCATGCAACAATTTATGATCAATGAGCTGCAAAGCTGTGTTGGGAAAAAGATGCATGCATTAGGCAAAGGGTCAGATTAAGTGACCTCTAAGCTTCCTTCCACACTTGGGTTTCAAAATTCTTTGTTTCATTGAAACTGTGGTTAATGTGAAGTCCTCTATTGGACTACCCTTCTGAGCTCCAGCTTTGGGGTTTTGTTTTTCCACTTTTGTACTTGCAAATCCTTGCTGAGGAGCAAAATCTGGAGAGTGAGTCTTCTTTTGCTTGGTGACTGCATTCCTGGAATTCCCAAGATTCCAGTCCCTTTTCCTCCTCACATTGTAAACATTAGGTTCTTGTGGGGAGGACAAAAAGGTCACTTTTCGAACAGCATTTGCTCCCAGACTCTCATCTGAATAATTCAACTCAACTTCATGAAAGCACCAGACTTTGGGCTGATCTCAAGCCTGTCTGACAGAACGGTGCTGATTTAGGCTAACAAGAGGTCATTGTTTGAGCTGGAGCTGGAGAATGGCCTCCTCACTTCTTGGTGAGCAGAACCAGGTACAGAACATAAAATGAGTTCAACGGACTCCTTGCAGTTGAACCAGTAGCAGCCAAGTGCCTTCCCAAATTCCCTTCTTAACAGGACCAAGCTCTTGAGGAGGAGGAGGCATTTATTGGGGGTTGCTACAAATTCGACTTTACTGCCACTGCCTTTATAACCACAATATAAAGTAACTCCCACAACACAGTGAAGATAAGCTCTTTAAAGAAAATATAAAAGCATTAGCTTGGCAATTCACCCAAACCTCATCATGCACCATAGACATTTTTGAAGTTTAACAAAGAAAAGCACATCATTAAAGAATACTGCTCTATCACCATTCTTATGCAAATCCTTCCAGATAGTTGGGTGGAAAATTCCATCTAACACGCAGCAAGAAATAAATGTTGCAGGGTGGAAATTTCAGCTATACTGAGTGCATCTATCACTTGTATAATCCAAACTACTGTATGTGCGCTGACTACACAATTAGTATTGATCCATTCACCATGTAAACATCAAGTACTTTCTATTATTACTTGAAATAGCATGCTATCACAATTTCTATTTCCTCCTTCTATCTTAAATAGAAGTATTGCACATTAGCCCTTTCCTTCATGTACTTTTTTGCACAGCTAACTAACTACAGTGTTCAGTGTGGTGCTGAGTTTCCTGCAGACATCTGCAGTATTAGCATTAAAGCACTTTATTTTCAAGTCATCTCTGATGGAAGACAATACAACTTTCATTTACCCAGAAACCTGTTACCAGGGCTTCTCTTAGAAACAGGTACATTCTCTCTCAGTCTCTCAGTCTCTCTCTCTCTGTCTCTCTATCTCTCACACACACACACACACACACACACACTCTCCCGCCCTGACACACACACACACACACACACACACACACAGATCATCCTTTGTTTGCTACTCATTCCCATCCCGAGACCACCATCATCAGCATGTCTCTTTAGCTCCAACCCTCAGTAGGTCAGGACCACCAGGTCTCTGGAGCTCCCAGGCAGTGGAAAAATATATTTGCCAAGGCTGAGAATGGCATTGAATTTCATGATGACTTGCTATAGAAGCTCAAGGCTTGACTCTGGGCTGCACGGTTCAAAGGTCTGGATGCATGAAGAAAAATTACTTTGGAGAATAAGTTCTGCTGTTTGCAAGCATATAAAAGCCTAGTAAGAGGTGAGACTTCTCTGCTCTTCCCCTTTCTGCATTCCATGGCATGACAGCATGAGGAAATTTGAACTCGGTTCCAGACCCCGAAGGGTCAATTTCAGCTCAAATAGCTTGGAGCTACCTATCGTATAATTCATGTCTTCTGGAGTTGGTGCTCTTCCTTGGGCACCACATGCGTCCTGACCCAGTGCATAATCTTCTTGTTACTCTTGCCATGCTCTGAACAGTATGCACTGCATGTAACTTAACTAGATTTCCAGTGTCTTCAGAGCCCAGCAGTGGCTTTAGTCAGAACACATACAATTTTATCTCTGTCCATGGAAATCTGTACCTTGCAAACTTTACCTACCACAGAGTCAACTTTCATGAAGGTATGTAATACCCCACTAGCACAATCCAAGTTGTTCCCCACCATTGTTTTCTTTAGACAACATGTGGAACCTGCAAATTGCTATCTGAAAAAAAATCATATATATATATATATATTGCTTTGTTTAATGGAGAGAAAATATCTAGAACCAGTTGAGCACTGTTATGCCCAAACTCCTTTCAACCAATCTAAAACAAAATCATAATAACTAATTCATTTATTAAAACTCATTAGTAGATGGTTGCCATCCATTGTTGCCAAACTAGATGGATGCAAATTCCAACAGATGAAATTCTAAAATTGGATAGTGTGTATTAAATATTCAGAGAAGAGTGAGGAGATTATAAAGGAACTGTACATCTAGTTCTGCCTCTAATAAATCTGATTCTTTTTTCTTAACACCAACTATTCAGTAATTCTGTTCACAGCAACAAAGTTCTATTCCCCTCCCTACTCAGTGCTCCTTTCAGAAGTGGAACAAGATTTCAGATATGGACATGCACACTGTCTTTCTTATTTACAATCATTTGAAGTGAACCATAAAATTTCCAAAGACTAAATCAGGTTGCTTCAACAATAATTGTGTTAATGTTTTGGAAAACAAACATTAACTAAAATAAAAGCAATATCCTAGCAACTCTCTTGATTGCCTATGCTTTCCCCCTAACAATACCTTCTCCGATTATGACCAGGTAACCAACACTCAAGGAAAGATGACCCTCTCCCCAGCTCAGTGTAAAATCTTGAACAGATAGTAAATTGATTGAACTAATCTCACTTATTTGGGAGTAATCAGTTTAGGAGTGAAGATGTGTTTCAGTTCCAACAAATGAGACATGAGGAAATCAGCTTCTGGGTTGGGGACAGGAGGTTCTTCACTCTTGAAAAGAGACTTGGTGGAGAGTTCACCAGCAGTGAAAACACCACACAATGTTGCATGTGCACGTGCCCCCGAACCACAGCGACCATATTGTGCAAGATACAAAAAACCTTGGTCTTTGTTGAGCTGTTGAATTAACCAGCACTGTGGGCTTCTTGTTAAAAAAAAAAAAAAAAAAATCATTATTATCTTCATGGTTGGAGTTCCCAGTACTGTAGTCAAAAGCACCATGACAGCTATAGGGAATTATTGGTGATTATGTTCAGAAATGTCCCTCCACTTGCTTCCTTTCTTGCTGTACCTTTGCCCCAGATGAACTTCTTGATTGAAATAGGAACTTTCATATATTTCAGCAGATGTGAGTTACTGTTGCTCTAAAAATAAGAGACTGATGAATCTTACTACGTAGTACTTTCACAAAAAAAAAAAAGAATGATTTCATGATGGTCTATTAACCAAAATCTATGCTATGAATACCTATGAGCATTCAGCTAATATGGCTTTGTTTAATGGAGAGAAAATATCTAGTACGAGTTGAGCACTGTTATGTCCAAATGAAGTTGGAATGAATGAAGCTTGAAGACAGGTCTCATATTAGGAGGGGAGGGAGAGATTATAATATAAAAGGAGTACATTCTTTGAAGTCCCCAGAACTTCACAGCTTTAGAAAATAAAGACCTCACTCTAGTCCAAGATTGCTAAGACAAAAACCCTTGCTTTCTCCAGAAGGAATAATACAGAAGCCTAATTGCAGCTCTTCAAATGGAAGAAGGGTGGGAACCTCTACCTATCCTCTTTAGTCCACGCCCACTGATGGCGCCTGAGTCATTTCCACTGAATCACTAGAACTCCCTGGAGTAGTTGTTAAAATGATGATTTAAAGCAAGGATGAGGGGCCATCCAGTGTTACATGTAATACAACCTTTTAAGTTAGAAAACAGACATGCAGTCCTAACATTTTAAACAGAAAAACAAAAAGCTTTCATTTGTAGGAAAATGTGCAAATAAATGGTGAAGTACCCTATCAACACAAGGAAAATGACAAAAATAAGGAAGTGCCCTGTCAACACAAGGAAAATGACAACCACAAAGTCAGTGAAATATTCTTCCTTGCCTTTACATCAGGATTCTGCCATAGTCATTTAAGAATTTTGAATGAAAAGAAAAAACTACCCTAAACATAGTTTCAGACATCTGCAGGAAGACATTATAGAAATGTGGTCTGCACAGGACCACACTGTGTTCTCCATCAAAAAAGTGGGGTTCTACCATAAACAATATTAAAAGACTAAGGGTACCTTGGCAAAAATTATTTGCAACACATAATAGACAAGGCATGAATATCCATACTATATGGAATTTACAGATCAATTTAAATTTTTTAAAGGCAACTCAATATAAAAACACAGAGAAAGAGTGTAGACAGCACAGAAGAAATACAAATGACCAATAAACATATGAAAAGATTCTCAGCTTCACTCCTAATGAGGTAAATGCAAAATAAAACAATGAAATGTCATTCTTTGCCCATTATGCTTGCAAAAAATTAAGACTGATAATATCCAGGGCTGCAAATAAAGCAGAGAAATGGGCGCTCTCACACATTTGACGGGAGTGTGAATTGGAACACAGCTTTGGAGGACAATTTGGCAATGTCTATCAAACTTAAAATGCAATTCCATTTTAGGAGTCTGTGCTACAGATATATTTGTACATGCCTGCAGAGATATAGCTACAGGGATATTCACTACAACATTGTTTGTAATTGCAAACACAGGAAACAATGTAAATGTTCATCAATAAGGACCAGATTAAATATATTCTGGTATATACATAAAATAAAATAAACATTAAAAACAATGAGGTAGATATGTTTATGGTAGTATAGAAGCATCTCAAATGTAAAAATAAGAATTAAGACAGCACATCTTCCCCCCAAAAACCAAAGGTAGACTATATATATATATATATATATATATATATACACACACACACACATATAGATATAATCTTTTTTTTATATACCTAGTACAATGCCAGGAACATACTAGATAGCCAGTAAGTATCTATTAAAAGTATAAATGACTTGTAAATATTTACTGGAGAAATGAATGATAAATGAATGATGAATGAATGTCCATGTAAACATATGAAGAAAATGTTGAAAGGATACACAAGTGATGTAGTTTGAATGTAAATCCCCACCAAATCCCATGTTGAATTAGTATTGGAGGTGGGGCCTAGTGGGATGTGTCTGGATCATGGGGGTGGATCCCTCGTGAATGACTTGGGCCTTCCCCTTGGTGACAAGTGAGCTCTCACTCTGAGTTCGCATAAGATCTGATCATTTAAAAGTGTGCAGCACCCTTCCTCCACTCTTTCTCACTGGCTTCTGCTCTGGCCATGTGACGTGCCTGCTCCCCCTTTGCCTTCTGCCATGATTGTAAGCTTCCTGAGGTCTCCCCAGAAGCCAAGCAGATGCCAGTACCATGCTTGCTATAAAGCCTGCAGAACTGTGAACCAATTAAATCTCTTTTCTTTTTAAATTACCCAGTCTCGGGTATTTCTCTAGCAATGGAAGAATGGCCTAACATAACAAGTTTACCTTAGTGTCATGGGAGAGAATCACTTTTCATTGAATACTTTTTTATAGATTTTAAAACATTTCACAGGTGCACATGCTATTTTTACAATAACAGAAATGGAAAAGTTAAGAATCTATCTCCATGTTTTAAAAAAATGTTAATATCTTAAGCAATATTGAAAGACAAAGGAAAAACAGAATATTTGTGACACATACAGCAAAGTTAACTCCAGAAAACATAAAGAGTTCTTACCAATCAATAAGATAAACAGCCAGAAAAAAATATATAACCACATGACATGTAGCAGACACTGTAATCATCTACCAGTTGTTTATTATTTCTTACAAACAGAACCATGTTTGAGAGTGGGGCTAGCAACATGTTTGTCATCGAAATAAAAAGTACAAATGACCAAAAAGCACACGAAAAAATATTCAACTTCACATAATCAGGGAAATACAAATTAAAACAAAGTAAAATACTTGATTTTTGCTCATAACATAGGCCAAAAAGAGGGAAAAGATTTGTATGATCCAGTGTTAACAAAGATATGGAGAAAGCCATTGATCAAAGTCGATGGGAGTACAAGTTAATATCATAATTTGGTCAGTAATTTGACAATATCTATCAAAGATTACCCGAAGATATATGTACAATAATGTTCACTAGAGCCTTGTTCATTAGCAACAATCTGGAAACAGTTTTATTTATCCATCACTAGGTCCGCAAACAAGGATAAAAGTCAAGCTTTCTACCCCATGGATCCTGTGTTCCAAGCACGTGGAAGGGACAGACAAGAAACAAAGAAACATATAAGGAAGTTCAGTTCTGATAATGTAAATACTATAAAGGAAATAATAAACAGAAAATAAAAGAAGGTGGCCGGGGGAGGAGAGAGCGGAGGGTGAAAGGGAGGTGATTTTACATGGAGCCATGACGGGAGGCCTCCCTGGAGGATGACGTTGAGCTAAAGTCAGAATGGACTTTGGGGACTCTGGGGGAGGGGTAGGAGGGGAATGAGGGATAAAAAAACTACACATTGGGTACATTGTACACTGCTCAGGTGATGGGTGCCCCAAAATCTCAGAAATCACCACTAAAGAGCTATCTTTTTTTTTTTTTGAGACAGAGTTTTGCTCTTGTTGCTCAGGCTGCAGTGCAATGGCACAATCTTGGCTCACCGCAACCTCCAGCTCCCAGGTTCAAGTGATTCTCCAGCCTCAGCCTCCCGAGTAGCTGGAATTACAGGCATGCAACACCACGCCCAGCTAATTTTGTGTTTTTAGTAGAGATGGGGTTTCTCCATGTTAGTCAGGCTGGTCTTAAACTCCAGAACTCAGGTGATCTGCCCCCCTCGGCCTCCTAAAGTGCTGGGATTATAGGCATGAGCCACCATGCCCGGCCCAAGAACTTATTCATGTAACCGAAAACCACCTGTTCCCCACAACTATTGAAATAAAATTAAAAAATAAAAAATTAATAAAAATGAAAAGAAAAAAGAATCAGCCCAGCAAATTCAAGGCCTCCAGATACAACAGGAAGGAGAAAAGGAAGGAATGTACAATGTAGATGAGGATAATGAATAAGAGAAGAAAGGAACAAGATGAGATTGGAGAGGAAGACAATGGTCCAATCATTTAGGATTCATGTGAAGGGATTGGGTTTTATTCCCGAGGGTGATGGGAGGCCACTGGGGTATTAAGCAAGGAGGGACATGACTGCATTCATGATGTTTAAAAGATCACTCCAGCTGCTAGGTGGAGAATGATTGTAGAAGATAACAATGGTAGGATGAAGTGCAATCGGGAGGTCCTGGCAAGGTAAGCCGATGGCTTAGATCAGGCTGGACACAGTGGAGAGTGTAAGCATTGTCCAGATATTGGGCAGATTTTGGAGGTAGAGCCTGCAGTATGTGCTAGGGGATTGGACATCTAGTCAGATGGCAAATAACGACTTAAGAGTATCTCCAAGCGTTAGGACTGAACCTATGTTAGATGGTGGTGCCGTGACTAAGATGAGAAAGCCCAGAGAAGGAAGAGGTTTAGTAAAGAGAATCCAGAGTACCATTCTGGACTTGTTAAACTTGAATGTTTTAGGAGACAATCAACTGAAAATAAAGTTGGTAATTAACATACAGATTTGATTAGGCGGGCATGGTGGCTCACACCTGTAGTCCCAGCTACTTGGGAGACTGAGGCAGAAGGATCGCTTGAAGCCAGAAATTCAAGGCTGCAGTGAGCTATGATTGCAACACTACACTCCAGGCTGGGTGACAGAGTAAGACTCATCTCTTAATAAATACAAATTTTAAAATAAAACATATATATATAGATTTGCAAATGCATGGAGAGAAATCTGGGAGATTACCTACCTATCCTATAAAGGGATTTTCTCCAGGAAGTGGAAACGGAGGTAGAGGGAGGTGACATGGAGATAGGAGCTGCTTCTACATTTTACCTTAAATACAATAATAAGGTTTGAAAATTTTTTACGATGAATACATATTACTTTTGAAATTTAATTAAATGAATACATATAAAAGAAGAGTAACTAGGTGGTTTTCAAATTTTTCCACAGAGCTTTTTCTTCATTCAAAGTCTTATTCTGAATGCTCTTCCTACTCTCATCATTCAGGCCTCAGCTCAGCTATGACCTCAGAGAGCCCATCCTTAACCACCCAGTCTAAAGGAGCTCCACCTCTTCCTCCCCGCACCTAACTTTGTTGCATATCCTGTTTCATTGTGTTCCTACCACTTACCACCCAAAATTAATGTCCATTTGTTTACTTGTCTCCCCTACTAGAGTAAAATTACCAAGAAAGCAGGGACCTTATATGCCATGTTCCTCAACTAGTACTAGAATCTAAAACCATGGATTGCAAATAGTAGGCACTCAATAAATAGGCTTTTGATTTAAAATAAACTCCAATTTGGCCGGGCGCGGTGGCTCAAGCCTGTAATCCCAGCACTTTGGGAGGCCAAGGCGGGTGGATCACGAGGTCAGGAGATCAAGACCATCCTGGCTAACACGGTGAAGCCCTGTCTCTACTAAAAATACAAAAAAAATTAGCCGGGCATGGTGGCGGACGCCTGTAGTCCCAGCTACTCAGGAGGCTGAGGCAGGAGAATGGCGTGAACCCGGGAGGTAGAGCTTGCAGTGAGCCGAGATCTCGCCACTGCACTCCAGCCTGGGTGAAAGAGCGAAACTCTGTCTCAAAAAATAAATAAATAAATAAATAAAAATAAATAAAATAAAATAAAATAAACTCCAATTTGTCTTCAAGATAAAAAGCTGAGTGGCGCCGGGAGCGGTGGCTCATGCCTGTAATCCCAGCACTTTGGGAGGCTGAGGCGGGTGGATCACGAGGTCAGGAGATCAAGACCATCCTGTGAATGGTGAAACCCTGTCTCTACTAAAAATACAAAAAAAAAAAAAAAAACAATTAGCCGGGTGTGGTGGTGGGCACCTGTAGTCCCCGCTACTCGGGAGGCTGAGGTGGGACAATGGCGTGAACCCGGGAGGCGGAGCTTGCAGTGAGCGGAGATAGCGCCACTGCACTCCAGCCTGGGCGACAGAGCGAGACTCCGTCTCAAAAAAAAAAAAAAAAAAAAACCTGAGTGGCTTCGATTGAATTGAGGCAGGAGTCTAGAGTCTCACCTAATGCCTCTCTCTCTGCTTCCTTCACACCACCACTGACTGCTCTGGGGCACATCGGGGGTCCCCTAGTGCCCTGCAGGAAGCAGGGTAAAAACCACAGGATTGCCTGATGGCTCGGGTCTTTCCCAGCTCTATAGCGGTTTAATCTGGGCCCCTTCTCTGGAGCCTCACCTCTCTCAGACTTCCTCCAACCCAACCAGAGCAGCTCTGGTCCAAACTCAGCTTCAAGTACCACCATCTCTTTCCAGTTGCCCTCTACCACCTCGACTGCCCTTACTTAGGCACCCCACCTCCCAGATGCTCCAGGCACTGCCCACCAAGGCTCCAAACCATGGAGTCACCAGTGAGTGTCCACCCTGGCTCAGCCCTCTGCGAGGCACCAAAGATCCGGAAACAAGCCATCCAGGGGCCTGTCTGCTCACAGCCATTCATGGGGACTAAACCAGGCAGAGTGGACTAACGGAGCTCTCTGGCATTCTGGTGGCTCTCAGGTGCATGTGGTCAAATCCAACTGAGTCCTTGGTTTTCTTTTCAAGCCTTCCTGACTATCCTGAGGCCATACAGTCACAATTAATAAAGATTGCCTGTCTTTGTGTACTTGGTTGCTGTCTTTATGAGATATGGATGATAGCATTGCCCCCCTTCCAAGAAAGGGAAATGCCATCTGTCTCTCTTGCTTGGCCTCAGTGCCACTTCAAGCAGGGGTCAGCAAGTATCCCTGGGCACTGTCTTCTGCCCCTTCTGTGGCCCAGATGGAACAGTCCTCATCCTCAGACCACACTCCTCCCCAGCCTCAGCACAGGCATAGGGCTTGCCTATGTGCCTGCTGCCTGCCTTGGTCTGGGCCAGTATCTCTCTGCAAGAGCCTTGCACAGAGCCAGGAACACCACAGGTGTTCAGCAGCCCTATGTAAAGGTAAGCCCTGACACTTTCAGGACCTTAGGCAGGTCAGAATTGCCTTCCTTAAGCCCAGGATTGCCCCCTGGCTACTGGCTTTGCTTCTCCTCTGTGTGGCAAGAGGGTGGAATCTCAGGTAAACAGAGCCTCAGGGGTAAAGTCCCAAGAGGCTAGAGCAGTGGAGAACGCTCTGGACTTCCTAACCTCAGGGATTCTCAGGAAAGAGAGGGAGGCAGGAACACACTGACCCCTTCCCCAGAGCCCAGCACACGGTGCTCAGGGGCCACCTGCTGGCAGTCAGGGGCATGTGTGACTCTGGGGGTGGGGCTGCTTAGGCCCAAGGCTTCTGCAGAGACACACACGGAGCACATGGATACATGATGTGCACGCATGCACACATACCTACTTTCCACATATCCAAGCATGTATGTGCACACATGGAAAAATGCATGCACATACAGACCTGAGCCCAAGCATGCCAAGCACATGGACATAATGCCATTACATGTGAACTCATAAGCATGCACTTGCAGACAGCCCTGGGTACACAGGTACATGTACACAATTGCATATATATGTGAGCCTGAGCCCTGGCTGAGACCTTCTCCCCTATGATCTCTTTACAAATCCCTTCCTCCCATATATTACCTGGGGAAAGACAGAAGCCACATGGCCTCTGCCCCCTACCCTCCTCTTCTGAGGAGACAGGTATTGCTCAGTCCGTGGCTTAGCTATCAAGAAGACCCCCTCATGGGGTCTCAGCTCCACCTAAGCAGAGGACTAACCTATCTGCACTTTCTCCTCATCTGCGGCTTATGGTGCATGGGGCAGAGGTGGGCTTTGACAGCATGAAGACACAGACCTGAGGACCTTGGTTGACAGTAATTTCTATATAAGGAATGGCTGCCCACTAAGTGCCACAAGGTAGGCAATAGCAGCAAAAGTGTGGAATCTAGAAAGGTGGGAGGTGATTCCCTTGAACCCTCTGGGAAGCTGAAGCTGTAGGCTGACATCTCCAAAACAGTGTTCAAGGGCTGATAGAGCCTCAGAAACCCAGGTTCAAGGATGAGGAAGGAAACTAATATTTATTGAATGCCTACTCTGTGCAGGCATTGTTCCTGTGTTTTCTCATTCCATCCTTACTTCCCTAAAAGGTAAGGAGTATTATTAGTCTTCATAACCCCTCATAACAATCTATCACCAAGTCTCATTCTTTTCTTTCTTAATAACCCTCAGATTTTTCCACTGGTGCACCACCAAGTCTGAACCTCCATTAGCTCTTGCCTGGGCACTGGCACAGCCTCCTACCTGGATGCACTTCTTGTCCCATCCAATCTACTCTTCATAATTCTAACAGACTGGTTTTAACAACATGAAACTAAGATTCCTTTAATGGCATCAATGACTTCTTGTTCTAAGGCCAAGATCAAAATCTTAATCTCTGCTTTGCACATCCTCACTTACCTCTCTAGGCTCATTGGCACCACTTACCCCTCATGTGCAGATTCTCTGTGGCCGCCTGGCTGGAGACTGCCCGAGACTGCCTAAGACTAAGAGTTCCCAGGGGGAGGGGCAGCCACCATCACTGTGGCTGCTTGCTGACTAAGATGACAGCTCCCTGGGAGAGGAGTGGCAGCCATCACTGCAGCTCCAGTCTGCCGTTTTTCCCTGCTGGTGCCAAGGAAACTGGGTAGTTTGGACCCAGGAGGAATTCCCCATAGTGCAGCACAGTGGCCGTGGCAGATTGTAGCCAGACTGCCTCTTTAGGCCAGACCCGGACCCATTCCTCCTCACCAGGTGGGGCCTCCCTGTGGGAATTTCAGCAACTCCAGCCAAGGGTTTATGGACAGAATTCTGATCTCCCTGGAATAGAGCCCCTGGAGGGAAGAGAGGCTGCAGATTCCATGTATCAGCAGACTTAGTCTTTCCCCCTGCTGGCTCTGAGGAATCAGGCAGTATGGACAAGTGGGATTCCCCCCAGTGCAGAGGACCACCTCCACCAAGAGGCAGCCAGAGTGCTGCATTAAGCAGGTCCCTGATCCTGTGCCTCCTGACTGAGTGAGACCCCACAACAGAGGTCACCAGATACCTTATACAGGAGCATTCCTACTGATACTGGGTCGGTGCCACTCTGGGACAGAGCTCCCAGAGGAAGGAACAGGCAGCCATCTTTGCTGTTCTGTAGCCTCCACTGATGACACCTCAAGGGACAGGAGGGACTTAAGTAAATAGGGTCTGGAGTGGACCCCCAGCAAACCACAGCAGCCCTATGAAAGAGGGGCCTTACTGTTAAAAGAAAAACAAACAAATGGAGAGCAACAACAACAACATTAACAAAAGTCTCCACAAAAAAACCATCCAAAGGTCAGCAGACTCAAAGATCAAAGGTAGATAAACTCATGAGGATGAGAAAGAATCAACAAAAAAATTCTGAAAACTCAGAAAGTCAGAGTGCTTCTTCCCTTCCAGATGACGACAATACCTCTCCAGCAACTGCACAGAACTGGGCTGAGGCTGAGATGAATGAACTGACAGAAGTATGCTTCAGAAGGTGGGCAGTAATGAACTTCACTGAGCTAAAGGAGCATGTTCTAACCCAATGCAAAGAAGCTAAGAACCATCATAAAACATTACAGGAGCGGTTAACCAGAACACCAGTTTAGAGAAGAACATAAATGACCTGATGGAGCTGAAAAATACAACATAAGAACTTCATAATGCAACCACAAGTATCAATAGCTGAACAGACCAAATGGAGGAAAGAATTTCAGAGCTTGAAGACTATCTTGCTGAAATAAGACAGGCAGATAAAAATAGAGAAAAAAGAATAAAAAGGAATGAAGAAACCCCAAGAACTATGGGATTATGTAAAAAGACCAAACCTATGACTGACTGGGGTACCTGAAAGAGATGGGGAAAACGGAACCAAGTTTGAAAACATACTTCAGGATATCCAGGAGAACTTCCCCAACCTAGCAAGACAGGCCAACATTCAAATTCAGGAAATCCAGAGAACCCCAGTAAGATACTCCATGAGAAGATGAACCCCAAGACACATAATCATCAGATTCTCCAAGGTTGAAATGAAGGGAAAAAAATGTTAAGGGCAGCCAGAGAGAAAGGACAGGTCACCTACAAAGGGAAGCCCATCAGACTAACAGCAGGCCTCTTAGCAGAAACCTTACAAGCCTGAAGAGATTGGGGGCCAATATTCGACATTCTTAAAGAAAAGAATTTCCAACCTAGAATTTTGAATCTGGCCAAACTAAGCTTCATAAGCAAAGGAGAAATAAAATCCTTTTCAGAAAAGCAAATGCTGAGGGAAATCACCACCAGGCTCTGCCTTGCAAGAGCTCCTGAAGGAAGCACTAAATATGGAAAGGAAAAACCGTTACCAGCCACCACAAAAACACACTAAAGTACAAAGACCAATGACACCATGAAGCAACTACATCAACAAGTGAAAAATAACCAGCTAGCATCATGATGACAGGATCAAATTCACACATAACCATAATAATCTTAAATGTAAATGGACTAAATGCCCCAATTAAAAGATGCAGAATGGCAAGCTGGATAAAGAGCCAAGACCCATTGGTGTGCTGTATTTAAGAGACCAACCTCATGTGCAAAGACACACAAAGGCTCAAAATAAAGGGATGGAGGAAAATTTACCAAGCAAATGGAAAGCAGAAAAAAGCAGAAGTTGCAATCCTAGTTATGGACAAAATAGACTTTAAAACTAACAAAGATCTAGAAAGACAAAGGGTATTACATATTGGTAAAGAGTTCAATTCAACAAGAAGAGCTAACTATCCTAAATGTATATGCACCCAATACAGGAGCACCCAGATTCATAAAACAAGTTATCTGAGACCTACAAAGTGACTTAGACCCTCACGCAATAATAGTGAGAGACTTCAACACCCCACTGTCAATATTAGACAGATCACTGAGACAGAAAATTAACAAAGATATTCAGGACTTGAACTCACCTCTGGATCAAGCAGACCTGATAGATAGCCACAGAACTCTCCACCCAAAATACAACAGAATATACATTCTTCTCAGCGCTACACGACACTTATTCTAAAATCAATCACATAATTGGAAGTAAAACACTCCTTAGCAAATGTAAAACAACTGAAATCATAACAGTCTCTCAGACCACAGTGCAATTAAATTAGAAATCAAGATTAAGAAACTCACTCAAAACTGCACAACTACATAGAAATTGAAGAATCTGCTCCTGAATGACTCCTGGGTAAATAATGAAATTAAGGGAGAAATCAAAATCTCCTTGAAACCAATGAGAACAAAGACAATGTATCAGAATCTCTGGGATGCAGCTAAAGCGGTGTTAAGAGAGAAATTTATAGCACTAAATGCCCACATGAGAAAGCTAGAAATAACTCAAATCAGCACCCTAACATCACAACTAAAGAAACCAGAGAACCAAGAGCAAGCAAACCCCAAAGCCAGAAGGCAAGAAATAACCAAGATCAGAGCAGAACTGAAGGAGATAGACATACACACACACACACACACACACACACACACACACACACACCCCTTCAAAAAAATTCAATGAATCCAGGAGCTGGATTTTTGAAAAAATTAATAAAATAGACCACTAGTTAGACTAAAAAAAGACAGAAGAATCAAAAAGACACAATAAAAACTGACCTCACAGAAAGACAATCATCAGAGAATACCACAAATAGCTCTATGTGAATAAACTAGAAAATCTAGACGAAATGGATAAATTCCTGGACATATACACCCTCCCAAGACTGAATCAAGAACAAGTTAAATCCCTGATTAGACCAGTAACAAGCTCTGATTTGAGGCAGTAATTTATAGCCTACCAACCAAAAAAAGCCTAGGACCAGACAGATTTAAAACTGAATTCTCCCAGAGGTACAAAGAGGAGCTAGTACCATTTCTTCTGAAACTATTCCAACAATTGAAAAGAAGGGACTCCTCGCTAACTCATTTTATCAGGCCAGCATAATCCTGATACCAAAACCTGGCAGAGATAAAACAAAAAGAGAAAACTTCAGACCAATATTCCTGATGAACATTGATACAAAAATCCTCAATAAAAATACTGGCAAACCAAATCCAGCAGCACATCAAAAAGCTTATCCACCACAATCAAGTCAGCTTCATCCCCAGGATGCAAGGCTGGTTCAACATATGCAAATCCATAAATGTAATTCATCACATAAACAGAACTAAAGACAGAACCCACATAATTCTCTTAATAGATGCAGAAAAGGCCTTTGATAAAATTCAACATCCCTTCATGTTAAAAACTCTCAATAAACTAGGTATCGATGAAACATACCTCAAAATAATAAGAGCCATTTATAACAAACCCACTGCCAACATCGTACTGAATGGGCAAAAGCTAGAAGCATTCCCCTTGAAAACTGGCACAAGACAAGGATGCCCTCTCTCACCACTCCTATTCAACATAGTATTAGAAGTTCTGGCCAGGGCAATCAGGAAAGAAAAAGAAATAAAAGGTATTCAAATAGGAAGAGAGGAAGTCAAACTGTCTCTGTTTACAGATGACATGATCCTATATCTAGAAAACCCCATTGTCTCAGCCCAAAAGCTTCTTGAGCTGATAAGCAACTTCAGCAAAGTCTCAGGATACAAAATCAATGTGCGAAAATCACAAGCATTCCTATACACCAACAATACACAAGCAGACAGCCAAATCGTGAATGAACTCTCATTCACAATTGCTACAAAGAGAATAAAATACCCAGGAATACAGCTAACAAGGGAAGTGAAGGACCTCTTCAAGGAGAACTACAAACCACTATTCAAGGAAATCAGACAGAACACAATTGGAAAAACATTTCATGCTCATGAATAGGAAGAATCAATAACATGAAAATGACCATACAACCCAAAGTAATTTATAGATTCAATGCTATTCCCATTAAACTACCACTGACATTCCTCACAGAATTAGTGAAAAAATTAATTTAAAACTCATATGGAACCAAAAAAGAGCCCATATAACTAAGACAATTATAAGCAAAAAGAAAAAAGCTGGAGGCATCATGCTACCTGACATCAAACTATACTACAAGGCTACAGTAACCAAAATAGCATGGTACTGGTACAAAAATAGACACATAAACCAATGAAACATTATAGAGATCTCAGAAATAAGACTGCACATCTAAAACCATCTGATCTTCAGCAAACTTGACAAAAACAAGCAATAGGGAAAGGATTGCCCATTTAGTAAATGGTGCTGAAAGAACTGTGTGGCCATATCCAGAAAATTGAAACTGGACCCCTTCCTTATGCCTTTACACCTTATACAAAAATTAACTCAAGATGTATTAATGACTTAAATGTAAAACCCAAAACTATAAAAATCCTAGAAGAAAATCTAGGCAATACCATTCAGGACATAGGCATGGGCAAAGATTTCTTGATGAAAACATCAAAAGCAATTGCAACAAAAGCAAAAATTGACAAATGGGATCTAATTAAACTAAAGAGCTTGTGCACAGCAAAATAAACTATCATCAGAGTGAACAGACAGCCTATAGAATGGGAGATAATTTTTTCAATCTATCCATCTGACGAAGGTCTAATATTCAGAATCTACAAGAAACTTCAACAAATTTACAAGAAAAATAACAAAAACCCCATCAAAATGTGGGCAAAGGACATGAACAGACACTTCTCAAAAGAAGATGTTTATGTGGCCAACAAACAAATGAAAAAATGCTCAACATCACTGATCATCAGAGAAATGTAAATCAAAACCACAGTGAGATACTATCTCATACCAGCCAGAATGGTGATTATTAAAAATCAAGGAACAACAGATGCTGGTGGGGCTGTGGAGAAATAGGAACACTTTTACACCGTTGGTGAGAATGTAAACTAGTTCAACCATTGTGGAAGACACTGTGGCAATTCCTCAAATACCTAGAACCAGAAATACCATTTGACCCTGCAATCCCATTACTGGGTATATACCCGAAGGAATATAAATCATTCTATTATAAAGATACATGCACATGTATGTTCATTGAAGCACTATTCACAATAGCAAAGACATGGAATGAACTGAAATGCCCATCAGTGATAGACTGAATAAGGAAAATGTGGTACATATACACCATGGAATACTATGCATCCATAAAATGGAACAAAATCATTTTTTTTTTTTGAGGCAGAGTAGTCTCACTCTGTCACCCAAGCTGGAGTGCAGTGGCGCGATCTCAGCTCACTGCAACCTCCATCTCCCTGGTTCAAGAAATTCCCCTGTCTCAGCCTCCCGAGTAGCTGGGATTACAGGTGCATGCCACCATGCCTGGCTAATTTTTTTGTATTTTTAGTAGAGACGGGATTTCACCATGTTGGCCAGACTGGTCTCAAATTCCTGACCTCAGCAATCCACCAGTCTCGGCCTCCCAAAGTGCTGGGATTACAGGCATGAACCACTGTGCCCAGACCAAAATCATGTCCTTTGCAGGGACGTGTTTGGAGCTGGAAGCCATCATCCTCAGCAAACTAACACAGGAACAGAAAGCCAAACATGGCATGTTCTCACTTGTAAGTGGGAGCTGAACAATGAGAACACATGGACACAGGGAGGGGAACAACACACACTTGGGCCTGTTGGGAGGGCACAGGGGTGGTGGGGGAGAGCATCAGAATAAATAGTTAATGGATGGTGGGCTTAATACCTAGGTGAGGGGTTCATAGGTGCAGCAAACCACCATGGCACATATTTACATATGTAACAAACCTGTACATCCTGCATATGTATCCCAGAACTTAAAATAAAATATTTAAAAAAGAAAAAAAAAAGGCAGATATACCATATTGGAGAGGCAGAAGAAAACTTCCTAATCACAGGACCAGGGACACAAATGATAAAGAAAAGATTGACCAAATAAAAAATGCTAACTTCTGTACATCTGTTTAAATGTACACCACCCAAAGGACAAGTCAGGTCTTTGAAGCTCATGGCGCTTTTGGTTGGAAGACCTGAAGATAAACAAGCCTCCTTTCCAAGGACAACTACATGATTTGCAAGACCCCTTATTCAAAGATTATTAAGAATTTCTCTGTTGTCAAGAAAGTAACAACAGAGCATGAAGCCATGCTCAGGGACTTTCTAAGGGCAGAGCCCCATGCAATGACACAGATGGCATCCCATGAAGCCAGCCCTACTCCTTCAATCCAGAAAAATAAACAGGCCAGAACTGGAAAGAATCCACAATACAACTCAACTTTGGGAAACACCCATCTGCTAAGCACTTCACCAGTGCCCAGTCTTGCCCTCACAAAGCTCAGAGCCTTTTGGTGGGAGAACAGTCAGTGCACAGCTGAAAGATAAGAGGGCATAGCTTTACTCCTCTGGAGGTGAGGGAGGGAGGCTCCATTCCAGACTGAGGATCCCAGGGATGCATAAGGTACAAACACACTCTAGGGAATCATCTCAGGCACAGTGTCCTCTGCAGAAGTCTTTGTGCAACATTTGCTTAGCATTTGTGGGGAGGGGGTTAGAGAAAATCTGGCTGAAGAGAGCTAGCTTAGGTGTCATACCCCTTCAGGTCTTCTGTGCCTGCAGGATAGGAGAATTGACAGGAAGAGAAGGAACAGTTTCCAAAGAAAAGAAGGAAGGTTATATCTCTGGCTTTGTCTCCTTCCAGAACTGCCAAGACACTACACAAAAACTGGATTTAATAAATCTGAGCTGTGATCCTGATTCTCCAGCTACCTAGCTTATGTGCTGGGACTTAAAAATTCTCTGGTCCTCAATTTTCTCATCTGTAAAATGGGAATCAGGTTGAGTAATTATGAGAATTAAATGAAATTAGGTAAGTTGAAAGGATCTATAAGTTGTAGACCTATACAAATTTTAAGTGGTATCATTTCATGTAATCTGCATAAGACCTGCTAGCAGCTGGTTGATGATCCAGGTTAAGATATGGGAAAGTAGAAGAGGAAAAAACAAAGTAGAGAAAAGTCGATTAGAAGATCCACTCATCCCAGCCTAACATCCACTTTTCTTTCTTCGTGACATAATACAAACAGTCTTTGAAAAGTAACTTTTCTCTGAAGACCCTTCCCCAGGAAGCCTAGACTGCTGGCACTAAACTTCACTTTTGCTTCCCTACACTACCAGAATCTCTTTATTGTCAGTCATGAGGCTTCTAGGCTAATACTCCAGGAAAACTGGGGTAAGATCGTGGCTATCAACCACTCACCCCTGTTTTTAAGTGTGAAGATAATTGTTTCATGCCAGTAAACTACATTCCTGTACAGGAATATTGATGATGCAAAATTGGCAACTCTGGATTTAAAGGGAGGCAAAATTGCTTCCCTTAAAATCACCCAAGACAACTCTGCCTGTCTGTGCCAAGTGGGGTGTGAAGCTGAGGGCCTCCACTCCTGGAGTCTGGAGCTGTAATGTTCTTTCCAAAGAAGGGCTGGGAAGGAGATCAAGGTACCCTTTGACTCCCCATATACCATAATAACCATAGCCGTTTGTTGTCTATAACATTGAATCAGGCATTATGTTCGGGATGTTTGCATTTAATGTTCACACAAGTTACCTAAGGTATGTCTAACCCCTACCTTGAGACTCTAAGAAGATTTTGGGGTTTATTTTTTAAATCGAACACTTATATAGCCATTACCATGTGCCAGACACTGTTCTAAAAGCTTTGCAAATGCTAACGTAAACTCATTAAATCCACAGAACCACCTATGAAGTAGGTACTAGGAGTATCACTCCTAGTTAACTGAAGAAAATAGCCTTGCTCAGTGTCACATAGATAGGAATTGGTAGAACAAGTATTCAAACCTAGACACAGGCTGGCTCCAGAATCCATGCTCTTTCTGTTGTGTTTCCCCTCTGGACCCAAAAGGCAGGTAGAATACAGTGCAGGCTTGACTCCAAAGCCTGGCCCATTCGTGTGTATGCTATTTGGATTTTAATTCCACAGGTACTTGCAAATGTCAAGGTACTACATTATTCTTTCAAGGAAGCAGCCAAAATAGATTAAGACTTTGTGCTTTGATTTCAAAATATGTGTGTTCAAATCCTACCTCTGCTATTTGTCATCTGGGGACCTTAGACAGCTAACTTCAACTCTCTGTGCCTCAGTTTCTTTACATATAAAATGGATATTATAATAGCATCTACCTTTTAGAGTTGTGGTGAGGATTAAGTGAAATAGCATAAACACAACTCTTGGCACAGGGCCAGGCCCAGAGTAAGCATTTAATACAGGCTCATAGCTACTCTTCTTAACACCATCATCTTCATTTCATCAACGTAAATTGAGAGCCACTAGGGCAGAGTAAGAAGAACATGGAATTTGGAGACAGGAAACCTTGGATTAAAATGTAGCCACATAATTTGTTCACTGTGTGGCCTTGACCAAGTCACTTAACTTCCTTTCCTCCTCTGTAGAATGGACATAATAAGAGCTACCACTCCCAGCATTTGTCTAGATCATATGAGTTCATGCTTGATGAAAGGGCACAATTACCAAACAATGTACATATGTTGGACATCACTTGTGTTACATAAAATAGCCTATCTAGTAGGTTGATTGGTGGGATCCCAAAACTTACATCCACATCCTAAGCCCCTTAGTGGGTAAATGTGACCTTTTTTGGAAAAAGCGTCTTTGCGGATGTAATTAAAGATCTTGATATGAACTCATCTAGATTACCTGGGTGGGCCCTAAATCCAAAGACAAGTGTTCTTATAAGCGACAGAAAAGGACACAGAGAGAGAAGGCCATGTGATGACAGAGGCACAACTCGAGGTGGTGCTGTCACAAGGCAAGGAATAACTGGTGCCACCAGAAGTGGGAAGAGGCAAGGAAGTGTTCTTGCTAGAGGCTTTGGAGGGAGTGTGACCCTTTTAACATCTTGATTTTGGACTTCTAGCCTCTGGAACTCTGAAAGAATAAACATCTGCTGTTTTCAGCCACCAAGTGTATAGTCATTTCTTATGGCAGCCCTAAGAAACAAATACACTGTCCCTGGGGAGAAAAAGGAATAGAAAAAGAAAACCCATTTGGAGCCTGTATTAGTGTACTTGGGCTACCATAATAGAACACCACCCTGCCTTATACAGCAGCCACTGATTTTCTCATGTCCTGGAGGCTAGAAGTTCATGATCAAGGTGCCAGCAAATTCACTGTCTGGCAAAGTGTGTCTTCTTGATGAAGAGAAAGACAGCTGTCTTCTTCCTGTGTCCTGGCATGGCCTCTCCTCTCTGCACGTGTGGAGAGAGTGCGCTGACATCTCTTCCTCTTTTTATAAGGACAACAGTCCTATTGGGTTAGAGCCCCAGTCTTATGACCTCATTTAACCTTAACTACCTCCATAAAAGCCCTATCTCCAAATATAGTCACCTTGGGAGGTTGGGCTTCAACATGTGAATTTGGTGGGGGAGGAAACACAGTTCAATCTGTAACAGAGGCCAGGCAATGAATGTGTTAAAATCCAGAGCCAACAGATGCAGCTCCACCGTGGCAACTGAAGGTGCTCTGGAGAACGAGCCAATTTTCTGGAATGGGGCTTCTGGGGCTTTCCTCCTGATGGGCCAAGAACAAGCAGCCACAAGAGAAACCTGGAGGAACACTTCCACACCCCCTGGCGCCTTATCAAGCCTGCCTCACATTCCATGTATGCCTGGCCATTGTTATTCCCCTTTATTTTATTACTAAAGTGGTTGGTCTCCCCACAGAGAAAAAACCACAAAATTTGATTTTTGAAAAGTGAAGTCTTAGATTTGAAAACCTCCAAAGAGTATCTGAATCCCTTCAAACCATATAAGGGGATGTGCTTATAAATAAATATCTGGATAGATACAGGTTTTAAATAGCAAAGATGGCTGAAGTCATTTTATTACAGAATTGTTAAAAAGCCATTTATCCCCATGTGGGATGGGAAGACACATCAAATCTAAACAGCAGAAATCCGAACAGGATGTGGGATGATATAGCAAGAGCATCCGGGGTAACGTTCAGAAATTTGAAGAGTTTCTGTATGTCAAATTAAGTCCTCTGGCACCTTGTAAAATCTAAGAAAATCAGTCATATGTTTCTTTAGCAGGTTAGGTTTGGGTGAAAATAAACAATAAAAACTTTAAAAATCATCCTGACTTGAAAACAAATAACTGATTGCCACCCATTCCTGCAATGCTAATTTCCCTTGAATGCTTATAATTTATTTGTTCAATAAATATTAACTCCTATTGTGTGCCAGGCATAAAGCTAGATCCTGGGGATTTAAACATAAACAAAAATAGATAGTGCTCAGCCAGGAGAGGGGTCACAGTTAGCATTTGGGGGTCTGACCAAAGAGACTGAAGCTGGGGCATGGGAAGCCAGCCTTACAAACAAGGCACCACCGGAACAGGAAGTTAGAAGAGGGAACAGAGATGGACTAATTACAGGGGCTAGGACTCATCGAGTTTTGTTGAGACTCAGGAATAGTAAAACCTCTGTCTAAAGAGAGCGTCCTAATACATGGGGGAGCGGGGGCATGTCTCAGGTCACAGTAGAAGGTCCCAGCAGCCAGGGCTGCATCTGTCTTTCCTTCTTTAACAAGGAGGCTGATGAAACTGAGTCTCCTTCCCTGGGGAGAAGAAAGGTACCTGTAGTAGACGCCCCCTCCCAGCCTCCATGGGGATGGGGATGGGACAGGAACAAGGGGACACCTGTAGAGTGGCATCAGTACATTCAGCTGGAAGTTGAGAAAGAGGAAAGTAGCCCAGGATGGGCTGCGACTGACTCAAACCCACTTGGGGAAAACTAGGTGGGCAGGGACTCTCTCAAGATATAATTTGCATACCATACAATTTTGCACTGGGATTTTAAACCAAATGCACCCCGTAGGGTTCAAGCACACAGTGGGTTTGGAATGCTACCTCCTGACTTTCCCAGACCCATCATACCCTACCCTCATTAAAGAGCCCCCTCTTGCCTGTTGTCCTTGTCTGCTGTGTCTCCTTGACCTGTAGCATGCAAGAGAAAATCAAAGGAGAAGTAAGAAAGGAGAAAGTGCAGAGAGAGGGGAGCTGCTGGCTACCGTTCATCAGATAAACTTAAAGTCAATTTCTGTACTTCTTGGAATTTTTCCACCTGGATCTTATCCTTTCTGAAAACTTGCAACTTAAATGATGTCCAAAACCAAGCAAAAGTAGGTGGCAAATAGACGTGTTTATCTGTGCTATATAAAGAGATCATGGAATTTTGATCTTGGAAAAGCCACAGCCTCTGTAAGCCTCAGTTTTCACCTTTGAGGAATGGGGACAAATGAGGATAAAAACTAAGCTCCCAGAGCTAATGTGAGGATTAAGGAATTTTACATGATTTGCACACATGTGTATATTAATAATTATTGTTGTAGATGTCCTGCCCCACAAGGTAGAAGAGACCTGGGAGCTCGCTCAGTTGGGCCCTATTTCTCTCTCCCTAATATCCAAGTGTCCCCCGCAATAGCCCTATGAAATTGTCACTCCAAAAACTCTCAAACCTCACCAAGGATAAGGAATCTATCAAGGACAATAATATCTGGCATTCATTACTCACACTATGCCTCTGACACTGTGCTAAATGTTTCTCCTGCATGGTCTCGTTTTATCTTCAAAATAAGTCTGTGATATGGCGGTGGAACAACTCTGTGAACACACTAAAAACCACTGAATTGTACACTTTAAATGGGTGAATTGTGTGGTATGTGAATTGTATCTCAGGAAAGCTGTTAAGGCCAGGTGTGGTGGCTCATGCCTGTAATCCCAACACTTTGGAAGGCCGAGGGTGGAGGACCACTTAAGACCAGAAGTTTAAGATTACAGTGAGCTGTGATTGTACCACTGCATTCCAGCCTGGGCAACAGAGTAAGACCCTGTCTCAAACAATAAATAAAATAAATGTTCAAATATGTAAATATTTGCCAAGCCCTTTCTGTGCAACACTATGCTGACTCTCCCCACAGCCCCCAAGGCTTCCTGTCTCTGTGTAGGGTCATGTGAGTCTTTGGCAAGTTTCCAAATTTGCAGAGCCAAAAGCCACCTTTTCATGCTGGTCTCCCTCTGGAGCCACACAGAATAAGAATGCTCTTCATTCCACGTGGGGCCTTGGGTCTTAGAACACAGCCACAGATTCCTCCTTTCTTCTTTTCTGCAGGCGCCACATACCCAGGCCACACAGAACTACACAGACCACAGAGCTGGGAGGCCCATGGCTCCCAAAGTCAGGCTATGAACCTGGCTGAAGTGGCTGCACCAGAGTCACCTAGGGGCCTTAGAAAAATCATAGAGAGACCAAGTCAGTAGAGTTAAGCCCAGGAGTCTGTGTTTTTTTAAAGGCTACCAAGTGATTCCAGCCAGGAGCTAAGTAAAGTAACCTATTATTTTAAAGAAAGGAAACTGAAGCCCACAGAGGGATGTAACTATTTCAAAATCACACAGCCATATTCAAGCCAACTCATGTCTGGAAGAGCCTACTTCGGTGTTGATATTTTTAAGTCAGGAAACTGACATGAGGCTGTAGGTTATAATGCAAAGGTAAGGGCAGGAACATGTAATCCATACAAGAAGAGATGCAATTAATCAGCAAGTCACATGGGAAAATGTTTAATCCCAATATCTATAAAAATGCAATCAAAACAATGTAGAGCATTTTACAGCCATCAAATTTAAGACTAACAATACTCAACCTTGGTGAGGTTATCATGAAATTGGTTCATTTGCACATTGCTTATAACAATTTAAATTGATATAATGCTTTGCAAACCAATGCAACGCGACAAATTAAGAGCCTCAGGCTGGGTCCCATAGAGACGTCTACTCAGTGCCATGTACATCAGGCATTAGAAATGCAGGTATGAATAAGACTTGCTCAATGTCTTCAAAAAAACTCACTGAACACAGAAAGAGACAGAAGTGAAGGCATGTTTTAATACTAAAGGTAAGGCTGGGCATGGTGACTTATGCCTGTAATCCCAGCACTTTGGGAGGCTAAGGTGGGAAGATCACTTGAAACCAGGAATTTGAGACCTCAGACTGAGCAACATAGTGATACCCTGTCTCTGCAAAAAAAAATTAAAAATTTGCCGGGCATCATGGCATGCATCTGTAGTAGTTCCAGCTAGTTGGGAGGCTTAGGTAGGAAGGTGGCTTGAGTCCGGGAGGTCTAGGCTGCAATGAGCTATGAATGCATCATCACATTCTAGCCTGGATGACAGAGTGAGACCCTGTCTCATAAAAAAGCAAAAAAACACAACCACACTAAAGGTGAGTAGTAAGCATGGGGGGTCATGAGACTAACTAAGGTGGGGCTGTTAGCCCTCCCTTGGAGGTTTAGAAAAAAGATTCCTAGAAAGGCTGACAATCGAGCTGAATCTGGAAGAATAAGCAAGTTAACGAGGTGAAGAAAGTTGAGAACAGCATTCCAGGCAGTGGGAACAACCTCAGCAAACTCCTGGAAGCTTGCAAGAGTTTTCAGTATTCAGGAAACCAGAGGAAAGTCCAGGGTTACAGGAGACACAGAGGCAGTTGGGCTCAGACTGTAGAGGGCTTTCTGTGTTCTGCTGAGTCTAGGCTTTGTCTTCGTATAAATCACAAGGAGTCATTGTAGTGTGATCAGCAAGGGAATGACATGAGCAAATGTGAGCCTTGGAATGGTTTCTTTGGCTGCAGCATAGAGGAGGACAGCAGAGAGACAAGAGCAGACAGGGAGGCCAGTTAACAGAACATGGCCACAGTCTAAGCAGAGATGGACAATGGAAGCCCACTAAGTAGTGATAGTGGGGAGGAGAGGAAGAGATAGCTGGGAGAGAAGGAAGGAATATGCTCTTCTGGATAGTCTCATTACCCAGTCACCAGAAGTCAGTAACTCTTTGATTATGGAGGTTTAAGGAAGAGATAAGAATTGAAAACAATCTCAGAGGAAGAGCTGGAAACTGACTTAGCCAGGGGTCAGTAAGGCTCTGACTGTAGTTGAGTGCAATGTTGCAGCTCAGGGGAGCTGCATGAGTGGTGGCCCAGGAAAGGGGGACATCCCACTTGCATCAGCCTCCCAGGCAGTGGCCCAGGGAAGAGGACATCCCTCCCATATGAGCCTCCTAGGCGACAGCTAGCTGCTGTGGGGGAGAGTAGAGCCCAGGGAGCAAGGACCAGGAAGGGGTCACAGGTTGCATTTCCCAGGAAGCACTCTGAGATGGTGATTAGAGTGCAGGAGGTTCGCTTGAGTGTGTTCGCTGGATCAATGCCTACGGAAGAGAGGGGAAGGAAGAAAGCAGGATTGGGCAGAGGGAGAAGTTCGGCCGCAGCCTTGATGGAGGCCTCAGCCAAGCTTACAGTAGACTCTGAAACTACTATGGCCATTCAGAGTTGTTCCAGGTTGGAGAGCCAGGTTTAGTCCCTTATATCCTCCCACCAGTCATGGTGGTGACCCAGAAAGGGGCACGTGGCCTGGGTGAGGTGGCTGTCTTCCACAAAGGCAATCCCTGTAGAGCTACCAATAGGCAAAATCACCAGCAGCTGGGGAACCATGTCCTTCATTTATGAGGAGGGATCTAGGTGGCCACTGTAGCATCTACCACAGAAGAATGTGGTCTGATCACAGGGGGCTGGGCCAGGCCCCCAGCGAGGGAATTGGAAACCAGAGAAAAAGCCCAGGTATAAGGTAAAGCCACATGGTGGGGATTGTCTGGCCATGGAGGAGCCAAGGCTTCCTAAAGCTCTGTAAGTCACAAGCCAAGGGTAGCCGGACTCCTTCAGACCCATGGGATTACATCAAAGCCCAATAGATTATTATCCTCAGACACGACAGACTGAGGGCCAGGCCAGGGTCCCTGGCAGGAAGCTGGGAACAGGAAGGGGTAGCACTGAGTCATACTGTATCCACAATAGCCAAAAACCTGGAAACAACCTGCCTGTCCAACATGAGGGAGTGGTGGAGTAAATCATGGTGCCTCCACTCAAATAACTGTTCTATAGCCATTAAAATAATAAGGTGGCTTTTCTATGACATGAAACAGAGGATACTTTAAGCAGAGAAAAACACAGGAAATACCCAGCTTATCAGTGTAACTGTAAATGTGAGCTCTGCATATGGATGGACAATTGGCAGCATACACAGAAAATAAAATCATTGATTTTTGTGATTGAGGGAACATGGCGGTTTTTAACTCCTGTTATCATCATTCGTAATAAATACTTTTTTCCAGTCTTGGCCATCTCTCAACAGAGGAAGCTACGGATGCTTTCATGTTGGTGTGTGGCTGGATATATCTCATTTCACACTTACCATGACAGCTGCATGCTGCCCACCAGGCAGTCAGACCTCCAAGCCTGCTCAGATATTGCTCAGGGGAAGCTATTAACTATGTCTATGAGCAAAAGGGGTTCAAAAGTTGGCAATGAGGAAAATATTTTTAGTAGGAAAGAAAAGAAGGTTTTATGCCTCCCACACCTAACTGGTAGGTGGGATGTTGAACAGGGCAAGTTTAGATCAATATTTAAGGAAAGTCTTTGCCATAACAACTGATGGGCTATTTCCAGAGGAGTGAGCCCATTACGTTTGAGCAAGTGCTAAAAGCTCATTGGTCGGGGATGCTATAGTAGAGCTTCAGGGAATCAAAGACACTAGTCAGGAGATTTTCTAGATGATGATTAAAATAATTCAAAATTTAACTCAAGAAAGGTCAACTAGGGACCAGCTGGGTCAGCTCTTCATGGATTCCTAGAGGCACAAGTGAGATGGTCCAGGGTAGTCCACAGAGAAGGGCCATTGAGAGCTCTCTCCTCAAGCACCCATCTTGCTGTGGTCAACTAATCCGTATCTGTGCTGCAAAACAACCCAGACCTTCTAAAGCCTGAGTCATTCAAGAAGCCACAAACTTCCTTCTCTTCTGATGCTCAGGAGTTTCTGAAAGCACCATGAAGAAAAGCCCCAAGGTTAACCAAATGGCTCTTAATTTCAACCATTTTTTTCTTAAGATACTTTTTTTTACATTTATTTTAAAACCATGGTCAATGGCGTTTATATACAGACTTATAATGGAGTTGCATTACAAATAATCAAGTAGCCCTAAACCCCATTTAACACATCAAGTTGGCTTTGAATCTGTCCACGATGCCCAGAGGTGTTCCTTTGTAGCTTTCCTGAAGCCATTCAGCAAACATTTAGTGAACTCCTTGTGTGCCAGGAACTGTGGTAGGCATTGGAGACCCAGAGATGAACTAAGCCAGGAACAACTAGCCCGATGGCTAGACTGGTTAAGAGAAAGAGAGAGAGAGAGAGAGAGAGAGAGAGAGAGAAAAATGCTTAAAGTAAAATGACGGCTCATAAACTAAGAACCATGTGGGGTGAGCATCAAGTGTCAGAATTACCAAAGAGGAAATAGAGCATGATCTGTGGGGTTTCAAAATTCTTCAGAGAGAGGTGCCGTCTCACCTGGAAAGGGAAGGTTAGTAGAATTGCTCCAGATGGAGAAGGTGGCACAGGGGCGACAGGAGCTGCTATTTTTAGGGAAAGAAGAGAAAGGTGAACTCTCCCAAGGTGGCAGTAGGTTAAGGTGCATAAGCCTGGAGAGGTAAGGAGGGTTCAGATCATGAAAGATTTTGTATGCCAAGCCTAAGAGTTTCCATTTTATCCTGAGAGTCATTGGGAGACACGGGGGTTTTCAAGCAAGGATCTGATGGAATTTGTGGTTTTTACTTTAATCTGTCTGAGGCGGTAAGAGGATGGACCAGAGGAAAGAGGAATAAATGGTAGGAAATTATAACTATGTGTCATAATTTAATCTGTCTCATTTAATCCCCACATCATCACCATGATTACCTGTCCTTCACCTGATGGATAACTCCCTGTGACATATATCAAGATGGGGAATAGAAAGATTCCATGATATCGTTGAAAGAGCACAAAGTCTGAGTATGGCAATTCCTCAAGGATCTAGAACTAGAAATACCATTTGGCCCAGTGATCCTATTACTGTGTACATACCCAAAGGATTATAAATCATTCTATGATGAGGACACATGCACATGTATGTTTATTGAAGCACTATTCACAATAGCAAAGACTTGGAACCAACCCACATGTCCATCAATGATAGACTGGATTAAGAAAATGTGGCACATATACACCATGGAATACTATGCAGCCATAAAAAAGGATGAGTTCGTGTCCTTTGCAGGGACATGGGTGAAGCTGGAAACCATCATTCTAAGCAAACTATCACAAGGACAGAAAACCAAACGCCGCATGTTCTCACTCATAGGTGGGAGTTGAACAGCGAGAACACATGGACACAGGGCAGGGAACATCACGCACTGGGGCCTGTTGGGGAATGGGGGGCTGGGGGAGGGATAGCATTAGGAGAAATACCTAATGTAAATGACGAATTGATGGGTGCAGCAAACCAACATGTATGTGGTTTGTATTCTCCAGATGGAGAAGGTGGCACAGGTACGACAGGAGCTGCTATTTTTAGGGAAAGAAGAGAAAGGTGAAACCTCCAAGGTGGCAGTAGGTTGGTTGTGCCAACCAACCAATGGCACATGTATACCTATGTAACAAACCTGCACGTTGTGCACATGTACCCTAGAACATAAAGTATAATTTAAGAAAAAAAAAAAAGAGCACAAGGTCTGAAAGTAGATACACCCGATTAGAATTATGTTTCCTTTCCTGACCAGCTGTGCAACCTTGGAAAAGCCACCTAACCTCTCTGATTCCTATCTCTCCCAACTATAAGGAAAAGACAAGCATCTCCCAGGGATGCTGTGAAGACCTTGAGACAGAGATGTGAGAACTCTTGAGAAATCACAGAGCTCAGTGAAAATGCAATTCCTCCAACTGGAGGTAAACCCAGATTTGGATTCCATTTTTGCATTGTATTAAGAGAGTCTCAATAATGTATCATTAGACAAAATAGTGCCGCATGAAAGAAAATGTCTTTCTGTATTTACCTGTGTCCCCAGGCAATGGAGGTTGCGCCAAACCACACACTGCCACTAGAGGGAGCTCATCCTTTAGCATCAAAGAAGTCATTTCAGCTCAAACTCTCAAAACAGAGGTCCTCTGTTAGGGGAGACAGAAAGCTGAAAAAGGTCAGTTGGTTGGTTTCTTGAGGGGTGTGTTTGTGTGCGCGCGCGCATGTGTGAGTGTGTGTGTATGCTAGGGTATTCTAATCATTGTTCATCATCAGTCCCAGAGTAAAACGTCTGCAATTAGACTACCGTTCAATCCCAGTGCCTCCATTTCCTAGTGTATTAATTTGGACAAGTGACTTCATTTCTCTGAGCTTAAGTTTCTTCATCAGTAAAATGGTGAAACTCATGGCTACCCTGTGGCGATGATTTTATGAGATATTAATATTAGACATAGAGCCCCCAGTGAGTACCTAGCACAGCATAGGAATCCAGCAGATTTTAGAACCCCTTCATTTTCCCATCTTGTAAATACAACAATAATTTGGAAATATATTTAAGTGAAATTGAAAGGCGAAGTAAACAGAGCAGAAAGAGGCACAAAGGGATGCTGAATGTGCTTGGTGTGAGACATGGACATTCCTCGTTCTCGCATCTGTTTAGTGAAGGCATCCGTGTATGTGGACACCGTTTTATAAGCCCCATGGCTAGACTAGGCAGTCATGAACAGATGGGCAGCCAGGAGTAACTGCAAAATGAAGTGGGCATATGGACCGCAAACTATGGCTCCCTCTCCTTCTGTTGGAGCCATTCCTCTCAATTCTGGAGTTGTTACCCTGAAGTGGGAGGGGGGAAAATGTTATTTAATGGATTTCATGTCACTCTTACATTTCTAAAATCACTATATTCATTCTGCCTTGTATTTCCACAGAGCCACCTTCTCTCAGTGTTCCAGCAAGTAGCTCTCACAAAGGCTGTGCCAAAACCATGCCAACGCAACTGGTAGAAAAAGAAGATTTGGGTCAAACAACCAAGTTGCCTTGACCAAATTCCAAATATCAGATGAGTGAGTTTTCCTCTCTGAATTACCCATTGCTTGACTAAACTAACATGGTCAACTGGATCTTTTGATTTCTCTTAAAGGCAAAGGGAAGAGAGAATTCACATGTGTTAAGCACCATTGTGCACCAGGCTCTGTGCCAGGCACTTTGCCAACTCTCACATGACGATCACAACACAAAAAGGGGGAGTACCTATATGTGCTTTACTGAAGAGGTGCCTATGGCTCAGAGAGGTTGAGTAACTTGCCTGAGGTCACACAGCTAAGAGAGTGAGAGAGTCAACTCTGGAGCTCTCACTAGATACCAAAGTCTGAGTTTTTCCAATACATACTAAATACAATAAAAGTCTTTTTGAAAGCTCCCTCTAAAATGTCCTTGTGTGCTGTGCTCAATTTTTGGATTTCTACCCTCTCAATTTCCAAGTCTGTCCTCAGTTTTCCTTATTATAAAACTGTCTATTTAAACCACCCTCAAAGGTTCTTACCCTATTTATTCACTGTAACAATGCCCACAAAAGATAAGAAGAGTTTGTTTTATAAGCAGAGAAACTGTCGCTTGGAGTGACTTACCTAAGGCCAGTCTGTTGGCAAGTAAAAATTCTGACATAGAAAAACTACTTTCTCTCATGCAGAGATTCTGCCTCTAGACAGAGCTGGAAGAGTTCCACAGTGTCTCAACCTCTAAATGTATAGATCTAGATCCCAGGAGTCCAGCTTCAAATTAAAGCATCATCCTTAATGCTGTCTTCAACTTTCATCTCAGTACTGATTAAACAAGTCTTGAATTAGTCACCTCATCTCCATCTCCACTGCCAATGCCCAGGTCAGGCCTGGATCCCTGCAAAGGTCAGCCACCTGCTGACCCCATCTCTAGTCTTACCTCATCAGCCCAACACTTAACTGTCAATAGAGGGTTGGGTTCTGCTTAAATAAAATAATTCCATCAAGTTGCATGCCTGATGAAAAAGTTACAATGACCCCTCCTTCTCATCTCCAATGAAAGCCAGAATCCCTTAATCTGCAAAAGGCCCCCTTTATATTCTGACACAGGCTACCTCCCTAGTCACATCAATTTCACCCAACCCCCACTCCCCCACAGCTTCTTAACAAGGTAATTTAGTATTTTGGCTATAGCTAATACTAATCCATCCTTCACTTCTTCCTTTTAGTAATGAAATTCTTGAGTATTAGCCGAGTACAAGGGCTCCCTTGCAGCTGGATATGACCATGTGACTCGGTACGGGACAATGGGATGCAGGGATAGTAATGTGTGCTATTTCTGGGTTTTTGTTTTGTTTTGTTTTGTTTTCATTAAAAGGAAGCTTGCTTTCCACTTTCTATTCTTTCTCAAGGGTGAGAAAATGTACATGTTGATAATAAGCCAGCTTTGACCCAGGATGATGAGGACAACATTCAGGAGCTTGGGTCCTAAGGGTTTGTGGAGTATAACACTGTTTGTTTGGTTTGGGCTTCTCTGGAGATAAGGATTCCAATGCATTTATTTCAGAGGTGATTCCAGGAAACAGCAGGAGGGGAGTGGGGAAGTGAAACAGAGAAGATAAGAAAACCAATGATACATTACCAAGCCAGCTACCACTATGGGCAGCTGGATCTCAACCAAAATGGGAAAACTGGAGGAATGTGTTGAATGTGACTCTAAGCTGTCCTGCCCTGGGGGTAAGGGGAAGCTGGGGTACTTATATATACCAACACCTGCAAAAGTTGATTGAGGGATATTGGAGGAAGGGGCCATTTATTGCCTGGCACCGTAAGCCTGCTGCACCACGAGGCAGAGTGCTCTGGTGTCAGGGAGAGCCCTCAGGCAGGCACAGGTGCTAGAAGGTGGAAGTAGGCCTGGGTGCATAGAAATGGTGAATGTTGGGGTGATTTAGGTGGGGTACAGGTGTGTCTGTTACACCAACCCAACTCTCCATCCCTTCATCCTAGCTTGGACTTTTATGAAATAAAGAAACATTTGGGAGGCCAAGGCAGGTGGATCACGAGGTCAGGAGATCGAGACCATCCCGGCTAACATAGTGAAACCCCGTCTCTACTAAAAATACAAAAAATTAGCTGGGCGTGGTGGCGGGCGCCTGTAGTCCCAGCTACTCAGGAGGCTGAGGCAGGAGAATGGTGTGAACCCGGGAGGCGGAGCTTGCAGTGAGCCGAGATGGCGCCACTGCACTCCAGCCTGGGCGAAAGAGCGAGACTCCATCTCAAAAAAAAAAAAAAAAAGAAATAAATAAACCTTCTGTTTTAAGCCACTGTTACTTAGTCTCTGTTAACCAACCTAGCTTATACAATGATGTGAGACTGCTTGCATTCAAAGACCATCTCTGTCACTCACTAGATACAGGCGACTGAATCTTACTGAGCCTCAATTCTTCTTCTGGAAAATTGGTACACTTGTTCACTGGGCTGTTTTTAAGGGTACCTGGGGTGACACTAGCAAAGTACCCTGGCAGAGAGTGAGCAAGCTGCTATTCCTGTTTCTTTTCTAGGAGCCCTTTTCCAACACTGCTCTTAAATTTGCCTTGATAGTCCACATACTCTTCAGGACTGGTCCCTACACAGGCAGAACATGATGGAGGTCCCAGAGCAGAGCCAAAGAGTGTCTTTAGCAAAGTTTCAATCACAAAGATGTTACCCCAGAATTAAAAAAAAAAAGAAATAGGACCTGTAGCTAGAGCCAAAGGTCAATGCCAGGAAAGGGCAGCCAACTAGGAAGAAAATGACCAAAAGAAAGACAAGACCATGGGGAAGCCAGCAGAGCAAGGGGGCAATACTGGCATTTCTCGAGTGTTCAGCAGGGGATCCCTAGGATGGCAGTGCTTCTCTGGCCCAAGCATTCAGCCAGGCCAGGCAGCAGGAAGCCAGTGCCCCATAAGTGTTTGTGAATGAGCAGGCAGGTGGTCCTGGCAATAGCCTGGCTCCATTCCCAGCTCTGCTCAGTTGGAGACACAGAAAGCAGCTCCCCTAGCATGCACTGTTGATGTCTGCAGACAGCTAGGGCTCATTTCCTCCCTAGTTTCCCTGCCCAATTCCCCAGAGAACAGGTCCCCAAGGTTGAGTAGTGGCAACTCCTTCCTTTCGAATACTGCTCAATGAGAAGAATGAATCATTAACAATTGCAGTGGGTTGCCCTAGGTAAATATCTGTTGACTCCTGATGGATAGCAAGTGCTCACTCATGAGGATTAGTTGAAATTGAACTGAGGAGAATATTGCTTTAACTGTCACTCTCCACCTGAGCTGTCACACATACAGAACTGGTCTTTAATATTAATTATTCAGTCAGTGTACATGGAGCGCTTTCCTGGGCCAGGCTTCAAATTAGCCCAGGGTCTCAGAGACAAGGAGAACTTGACTAAGTCATGTCTGGCTGGGGAGAAACAGAGCAACCAAATGACTTTAAGTGTGAGATCAGTGATTTTTAATCATTGACTGATCCGAATTACCTGAGTCTATAAATATGCCACTTCCCGGGCCCCATTCCCAGTGACCTAATCTAGGACTTGCATTTTTTTTTAATAGACATTTTAGGACAGTTTTAAATTTACAGGAAAATTGAGATGATAGTTTGGAGAGTTTCAATATATATCCTCACTCAGTTTCCCCTATTCTTAACATCTTACATCAGAATAGTACATGTGTTAAAATTTATGAACAAATATTGATACATTTTATGTGTTTTTTTCTATTCCAGTATCCCATTCAGGATACCACATTACATGTAATTGTCATATCTCCTTAGGCTCCTCTTGGCTGTGACAGTTCCTCAGATTCTCCTTGTTTTTGGTGACCTTGACAGTTTTGAGGTATATTAGTCAAGTATTTCATAGGATGTCCCTCTAGTGGAATTGATCTCATGTTTTTCTCATGATTGCACTGTGGTCGTGGGTTTTGGGCAGGAAAACCACAGAGGTAAAATATCATTTTCATCACATCATATAAAGTGTATACAGTATCAACAGGGTTTATCACTGTTGATATTGATGTTGATCAACTGACTCAGGTAGTATTTGTCAGTTTTCTCCAATGAAGGGCATTTTTTTAAATCTAGTTCCATACTGTCCTCTTTGGAAGGAAGTCACTGCATACAGCCCACATGAATGGAGTAGAAAGTTATGCCTTCCCCTTCTTGAGGGCAGAGAATCTACATAAATTATTCAGAATTCTTCCACATGGGAAATTTACATCTTCTCTTCGTTTATTTATTTATTCAATCATTTTTATGTCAGCATAGATTATTGGCTATTTATTTTACACTTTAGGTTAAAATCCACTACACTTTATTTTGTTGCACAAATTGTTCCAACGTTGGCCATTGGGTTGGCTCCTGTTTCCCTTTAATATACCCTTAATCAATTCAGGTTTTCATTTGTTCCGTTTTGAGCACTTTCTTACTTTCAGGCACTACAGGATGTCTTATGCTCATTTTATATTTTTTCTATTCCACTCCTAAAATACTTTTCTGCAAGGAGTGCTGATTTCTTTTATTAGAGAATAGTTTTAGAAACCAAGATCTGGGTGCTAGGTGCAGTGCCTGTAATTTATGTAACTTCTTACTTGAAAATAATTTCAAACCTAGAAAAGTTGCAAAATAGCACAAAGAACACCCATTTACTCTTTATCCAGATTCATATCCTGATAATATTTTGTGTCGCCTGCTATATCATTTGCTCTCTGTACATAATTTTTCTAAAACATTTGAGAAATCATGGCTCTTTAAGCACTTCAGTGTGTAGCTGCTAGAAAGAATAGGCGTGCTCTCTTCAAACCAGAGTTACTGATTTTTGTCCATTTAACATAGATATAATTATTTACCATTCACTTTTCAATTTTATTAATAGACTTTATATCCTGTATTGATTTTTTTCTTCCAGTACAGAACCCAGTCTAAGCTTGGGTATTGCACTTAGTTGTCATGTCTTTTTAGTCTCCCTTAATCTGAAACAGGTCACTGGCCTTGCTTTATCTTTCATGACAGTCACATTTTTTGTTTTTTTGGTTTTATTTGTCTTATTTTTGTTTTTGAAATGGAGTTTTACTGTGTCTCCCAGGCTGGAGTGCAGTGGCGCAATGTCGGCTCACCACAACCTCTGCATCCTAGGTTCAAGAAATTCTCCTGCCTCAGCTTCTCAAGTAGCTGGGATTACAGGCATGTGCCACCATGCCCAGCTAATTTTTATATTTTTAGTAGGGATGGGGTTTCATCATGTTGGCCAGGCTGGTCTTGAACTCCTGACCTCGAATGATCCACCCACCTTGGCCTCCCAAATTGCTGGGATTTGAGGCGTGAGCCACCATGCCTGGCAAACATTCACAGTTTTTGAAGAATACCATCCACTTTTAAAAATAGACAGTTCCTCATTTGGAGTTTTCTGATTGCCAAGCTAATAAAACTACATAGTGTGAGGCCACAGTCCCCAAGTCTGTCCTCCCATCTGATACCAACTGCAAATTCAGGGAATTCCCAAAATCCCTTGAAGTTTCAATAATTTGCTAGAATAACTCACTTTAAGCTATTATACCCATGGTTACAGTTTATTACAGGGAAAAATATAGATTAAAATAAGCCAAAGGAAGAGATGCCATAGAGCAAAGTCTTGGAGGGTTCCAAATGTGAAGTTTCTGTTTTCCTCTCCATGGAGTTAGTATGCATTACCCTCCAGATATTTGTGTGTGACAATACACACAAGTGTTAGTGAGAAAAGCTCACTCAAGCCTCAGTGCTCAGTTTTCTTAGGGGTTCCATCACATAGACATGATTGATTGATTAATTGCCCCAGGGTTGGACTCAGTCTCTAGGTCTACCAATATCATATGACCCAAAGCCCTTGCCATATTCACATGGTTGGTCTTTCTGGTATGGCCAGCCCTACCTTAAGACTGCAGGCGTGGCCAGCTTCCATCCTGAACAAAAACGCTGCAACAGATACAACACAGGTTACTTCCCAGAAGCTGAGGGTACAAGGTCAAATTCTTTAATATACACTGATGTTTTTCATGAGTAGATCCAGATTATGCATTTCCAGCTGTGATACCATATGATGTGTGACCATCTCAAAGTATCATGTCTCAAGGCCTGCACGGTCTGTCTGCCCCTCATTGATGATGTTAAATATAAACACCATTGGCCAGGTGCGGTGGCTCACACCTGCAATCCCAGCACTTTGGGAGGCTGAGGTGGGTGGATAATGAGGTCAAGAGATTGAGACCATCCTGGCCAACATGGTGAAACCCCATCTCTATTAAAAATACAAAAAATTAGCTGGGCATGGTGACACATGCCTGTAGTCCCAGCTACTCAGGAGGCTGAGGCAGGAGAATCACTTGAACCCGGGTGGGAGGTTGTAGTGAGCCGAGATGGCGCCACTGCATTCCAGCCTGGTGAAGGAGCGAGACTCTGTCTCAAAACATAACAAAACAAAACAAAACAAAAAACACTGTCAAGGTATTGTCCACACTCTCCACTGTATAGAAACTATATTTTTCCTTGCTTCTAATATACCATTTATTAAAATGTAGTAACAATACAAGTTCAAGCAAATGTCCTGATCTTAATCAAAATTCCCCTAAATTTAGCAACTATTGATATGTCTGACCCAAACCAGTCTTTACTATGATGGTTGCAAAACGTCGCTGTTCTATCTCCAGCATTCCCTTCAACTTACCAGTCAGCACTTGTCATCTGCCATAAACAAGGAGAGACTGCAGTTTTAATCAGCATCCCCCAGTGATTACGATGCAGAAGGTCTCCTCGACATTCTCTGAGAAACATTCCAATAAGCCAAACTAACATAGAAACATAAAAACTACAGTAAGTTTTATCTTAGTGGATGAGGAGGCATTCATCTGTAGAGAAACTCAAACCCTTCGTTTTTTTGCAGAATACAATCAAGTCCTTCATAATATTGACTCCCTTGCTATTCAAAGTGATTCAGTAGCAGCAGCCCTTAGAAGCTTGTTAGACATGCAAAATCTGAGAGCTTACCACTGACTCAATCAGAATCTGCATTCTGCCAAAATTTCCAGATGGTTTGACAGCACATTAAATTTTTGAAAACACTAGCCTGTAGGACCCCCTCCAGGCCCTGACTCCCCACCTCAGGCCATATCATCCACAGAAAGCCAAATTCCAGCCATATTGAACCATGTACACTCTCCCAAAGGCCACATATTCCCTTTAGCCTCCAAATAGCCTTTGTACAGACTAGTCCTTTACCTGGAATGCCCTTGACCTACCCCACACCACAACACTTTGAATGTTTGTTTCCTGTTTGGCCATCTGGACTCACCTGGAATCATTTCCTCCAGTCTTTCCTGGCTCCACCAACCACGTTAGAAGCCACTGCATGTGCTTCCAAGACATCCCCAACTTCTATTCTCCCAGCACTCATCCACTGTACAATAACTACCCATTTTCTTATCTTTCTACCCACTTAAGATTGCAAGCAATTTGAGGGCAGGAACTGTGTCTTATTCATTACTGTATCTCCAGCACTGAACAAAGTCCTGAGTCCTAATGGGCACTAGCAAAATTTGTTTAAATAAATAATAGAAATGTGTTTAGTTATAATAACATTTATTTAGTGTTGACTACGTGCTTGCACAGGTCCGTGTGAGATACACACACTAATTATGCAGATATAATTATTATGCCCATTTTGCAGATGAGAACACTGAGGAACAGAGAAGTCTTGTGACTGAACCAAGATTACACAGCAAGTAGGTGCTGGAGCTGGGATTTGAAACTAGGCAGTCTGACTCCAGAGTTTGCAAGTTTCATACACTTTGTTTCCTGACCAAAACTATAGTGAGAGAAAAGCAAGCTAGTTTTTCTCTCAGTTATCACTGTGGGTGAGTGTGGCAACCTGACCCTCATACCCAAAGAACCTAAATTTAAAGGCCTATCACCCAGCTGGGGACAATGTGCCATTATTGCTGGCAAGGTACCTGTGACATGGGCATCCCCTGAGTGCTGAACTTGCAAAGCCCAAAAGAGAGAAGAAAGGAGGAAGGAAGTTCAAGTGAGCTTTTCAAGTGAACCGGACAAGCCCCCCACACTCTGGCACAGTCTTTAGAACAGGTACATGTCTTCCAGTCAGGTACATCTTAAAAGGTAAAATACTCAAGAAAGTTTGTCATAAAGAAACAGACACATTTACAAGGAAATGTATTCTAAAATGAACTTGTTCATTGTTTCCATACAGGTATTAAGTTCCTATCACTATTAGCCAGACATTTTGTAGGTACCAGTGATACTGAGATAAAAGAACCAGACATGGCCCTGCCCTCAAAGGACTTACAGTCTAATGGGTGTCCATAATAACTCATAGGCTATACTGGAATGAAAACTGAAGAGAATAATGTCTTCTTGCAAGAACACATGTTTTAGTGTGATGCAGTGGCAAGAGTTGAGCCTGGTCTCTTACTGGTAGTGTAAACTCAGGAACATCATTTCAGTTCATTTGCTTCTTTACAGATGCTAATAATGCCTTCCTCACAGGCTTGCAAATCATTCCTTTACTCAACAAACATTACTGGATGTCTGCTATGTGCAGGGACTGGGACAGAAACACAAAAGATAAGTCTCTGTCCTTCAGGATTTTATCACAGGGGAGGTAGACATATAATTTACTGTGAAATTCCCTGGTCTATTCAGCACACAGTAGGTATGCACAAGAAGTATTTGTTAGTTAAATGTAAATAGAAACATCTTAGGCTATGTGTTAAATGTATGACAGGTGTAGATCGTTTATTCATTCAAAATTGTTTATTGAGCACCTGCTGTGTGCCAACCACTATACTAGATGAAAGGGATACCGCAGTGGACAAAACAAAGACTCCATGGGATCTTCACCCTGATGGAGTTTATTGGAGGAAAATAGATAACAGGCAAATGTGTGAATTAATATGTAATTTAATATTAAATAGTGTTAGGTGCTAAGAAGAACAATAGAGCAGAATAAGGAATCAGAGAATGTCAGGGATGGTGGCTGTTGGACCACAGGGTATGTTGTGCTTGCACTGTGGAAATAAACAATGCTAACATCTCAGGAGCATAACCTAAGTTTACATCTTGCTCTTAAAAAGTGTGCTGTGGGTTTAAACTAGGAGGGTTGAATGGCTGATTGCTGCTCAGCCTTCTGGACTGAGCTTAGAACTCATTTCCTCTAGTCTTTCTGATTCTGCCAACCCAGTTAGAAGCCCCTGCTGTGTGCTCCCACAGAATGCTACTTCGGGTTCACGGATTTACAATGCTGCCCCCTCTGTAAGCTAAAAATGATAGTAATATCTTTCTCATAAAGTTGTGGGGAGAACTCAAGGAGATAATGCATGTAAAACACTCAATAAATGTCAGTTATTATGTATATATGTAAAGATTATTATTCAGAATCCTACTGCAGCTAGGAAAGCATTAGCAGAAAGCTTGAGAAAATGTAAAATGACAGGCAGTTATTCCAGTTGTGACCAGAAGGGAAAAGAAAGACAGAAGGAAACTTTATAAGTACTAACCATGTGGTAGACACTCTTAGACCCTTTAAATTCTTTGTTTCATTCACTTCTCATAATCTTCTCTGAGGAGTGAATTGGGCACTATTGTCTTCATTTTTCAGAGACTGAGTTTGAAAAAAGTTCAGTAACTTGCTCAACTCACATAGCTCCTAAGTAGTTTTCCTGACTATAAAACCCCTTTCTCTTTCTATTAAAGCAAAAGTGTTTCTGCATGTTACCAATATTCTTGCTGTTGTTCTCCATACTAAAGTTAATCATTAATCTCTGAAAAAAAGCATACCCAAAGTCAACTATGCAGATCCAACAGCAATCCATGTCAGGTGTAAGAGTGATTCTTGTTAATGAGGTTTTTAAGAAAACCACAGCATTTAATAGCAACATATTGAGGCAAATTCCCCAAACTCTCAGAGCCTCTATTTGATTACCTGCAAAACGGTGATAATAATGCCCCACTAAATTAATGACCAGTGCCCAGTCATTGTTAACATCTAAAACACCAGCTCCCTAAATTGCTATGAAGATTAAATGAGATTATATACGAGAAATCACCCAGCATAGTGCCTGTTTTTCCATCTGAATCTTAAAAATCAGCCTTACTGGAATAGGTTGAGAATCCCTTAATGTCAGAAACTATTGAAATGATAATCCAACTTCTAATAGTCATGGTTTCTTTTGTAGATATGAGAAAATATCTCTTTGAGCAAATTCTTTTGGGGAATTAAAAAAGCAAAGGAGTTCATCTTTCTTTTTCTAGGTTAAGAATAAACAGGAAGACTATAGAGACTGAATTAACTCATAACCCAATATTCTAAATGTCTTAAATTGACCTACAGAGGAAAGTGTTTTGCTTTTGCTTTCTGTGAGTGGATGTGCAAAAAAAATTGCAAACACTGGATTTGTTAATATATATGTTGAATGTGTTCACGTTTAAAATCTACTGTTATTTGGGGTTAAGGAAGGAATCCTAATACAGGTACCAAAAATATCTCACAAATGTACAAAATCCGTGCTTTCCAATGTTGCCTGATAAGAATCATTCACTGGGGAAGATTTGTTCGTTCTAATTGGGAGCAAGAAATCTGTATTTTCATAAGTGCTCCCTGTTATTCTTAAGATCAAGCAAATTTGGAAAACACTATTCAAACCCAGCTTGCAAACTTAAAGATGTTTCACCTCCTAGTGAGTTTACTAATTTTGATCTCAAATATTTTTGGCCAACACAATTACCAAGTCATTAAACAATCCCCTAATGTGACTGACAATTTACTTTCTTAAAAATAAAGTACAGTAAGTCTTCAATTAACATTGTCAATAGGTTCTTAGAAATTGCAATGTTAAGTAAAACGATGTATAATGAAACCAATTTTATTATAGGCTAATTGATAGAAACCAGAGTTAAGTTTTCATGGCATATTGCTGGTCACAAAAACATCACCAAACTTCTAAATAACAACCCAGAACACTTCTAATGTTAAACACTGAAATAAATGTGAGTTGTACATACATTTAAGAAAGGTTATTAAAAACTAGTAAGGTAATTATATACCCACTGACGGCAACTCACAATCACAGGTGGCCAGCTCAGGAACTAGCCCTGGACAGAAGACCATCCCACACTCATGCACACACCCAACACTCACACTGACACACCAATTCATCTGACATGCACATCTTTAGTATGTGTGAAGAGACCAGAGTACCCACAGAAAACCCACGTAGTCATGGAGAGAACGCGAAAGCTCCACACAGAGAGTGACCCCAGCCAAAAATCGAGGTTATTTTCAATCATTATAACAAAATGATGTTGAATAAAACAACCTTATACAAGCATCTACTGTACTGCTATAACTACTTTTTTAAAAGAGAGTATTGCTACAAATTGAAACCTGAAGAAAGAGTATTCTCATCACCTTAGAAGGGAAAATCCCACTTTGTGTAGGGAAGAGGAAGTGCCAATTGAGTCTCTTTGGCCAGACCATTTAAATCAGGCCCTACCTAATATCCAGGGAAGCGTACTGCACTTTAGCAATTCCTGTTATTGAGAATTACTGCAGAACCGAAGAGAAGCTATCAGCAAGAGCAGAGTAGAAGGGGGTTACAGAAGGTGAAGAAAATATGAACAATAAAATGAAATTAGGTCAATGACCATTTATGGCTGGGTGCAGTGGCTCACGCATGTAATCCCAGCACTTCGGGAGGCCAAAGCAGGAGGATCGTTTGAGCCCAGGAGTTCAAGGCTGCAGTGAGCTATGATCATGCCACTGCACTCCAGCTTGGGAGAGAGAGGTGCCCCTGTCTTTGAAAAAAAAACCTACCATTTTATATAATACCATAGGGTTTACAGAGCCCTTTTACAAACATCTTCTCACTTAACCTTCACACCAACTCTCCAAGGTAAATTACCCCCATTTTACTGACAATAAGATAAAGGCTGAAGCTAATTATCAAATTGTCAGTGGACATTCAGTTTTCCAGATTCTAGGTTTCTGGCTCTTTTCAACATATAAAGCTGCTTCAATAAAGGTACAGAGGGAAGGAAATTCTGGGATGGAATGGACTAAAATGGAATGAAGAGGGCAATTGTTATGAATCAAACAGAAAAAATATGTAAGCATATAGGTAATAGAAAAGGATGAAGACTCTTGAGTAGGCTGGGTACGGCAACTCATGCCTGTAACCCCAGCACTTTGAGAGGCTGAGGCGCGCAATCACCTGAGGTCAGGAGTTCGAGACCAGCCTGGCCAACATGGCAAAACCCCATCTCTACTAAAAATACAAAAATTAGCTGGGCATGTTAGTGCATGCCTGTAATCCCAGCTATTCAGGAGGCTGAGACACAAGAATCCCTTGAACCCAGGAGGTGGAGATTGCAGTGAGCCGAGATCACGCCTCTGCACTCCAGCCTGGGTGAAAAAGCAACACTCTGTCTCAAAAAAAGTAAAAATAAAAAATAAGACTCTTGAGTAGAAATCAAAGGAAAGAACATTAGAGAGTTCAGAAAGATACAGTCATTATCAAAAACAGCACAGAGGTTCCTACCATATGATCCAGCAATCCCACTACTGGGTAAATACCCAAAGAAAGTAAAATCAGTGTGTTGAAAAGATATCTGCACTCCTATGTTTATTGCAGAAGAATTCACAATGGCCAAGATATGGAAGCAAACTAAGTGTTCATCAATGGATGAATGGATATAGAAAATGTAGTATATATACACAATGGAATACTATTCAGCCATAAAAAGGAATGAAATCCTGTCATTGGAGACAATTTGGATGAACCTGAAGGAGATTATATTACATGAAATAAGACAGGCATAGAAAACCAATGATCTCATTCATATGTGGAATCTAAAAAAGTTGATCTCATAGAAGAAGCGAATAGAATGGTGGTTACCAGAGGCTGAGGTGGTTACGGGGGAGGAGGGGATGGGGAGATGTTGGTCGAAGGTTACATAATTATAGTTAGGAATAAATTTCAAGAGACCTATTGTACAAAAAGGTGACTATAGTTAATAATACATTGTATTCTTGGAAAATGTAGAGAGTGGCTGTTATATGATCTCACCATAAAAATGATAACTATATGAGGTAATGTATTTGTTAATTAGCTAAATTTAACCATTCCACCACTACATATATATATATATATATACACACACTTACACACAGTTCAAAGCTTATGTAGTACATGATTTAAAAAATATTATCTGTCAACTTAAAAAATTTACTTAAAAAAAGTTCAAAAAGGAAAAATGATCAACAACAGCAAATCAAATCAACCTCATAAATTTATAAAGCTGGGCTAGAGGGAGAGCTTATTGGGGCAACCCCACAGAAAGACTCTTAGCCATGGAGAGAATATTACCATTATTCCTCACCAGGGACCTGCCCTAAGAGCTGCAAGGGGTACAGCACCCTCCAGAGTCACTACAGGGTTATTTAACTAAATGTGGTGCCTGGAGATGGGAAGACCATAAATCAGAAACAGACACCCAGGGCTGTTGGGGTGGGGAGCCTGAGGTACCTCCTCCAGGTTCTCCCCTCTAGTGCCCCCACCCCCACACCCACCCCGGCCACAGTCCTGATCCAGACCTCTTCATCTCTTCCCGTTTGCTTGGTTGGTTTCCCTGCCTCCAGCCTCTCAGACTATCAACAAAGTGCTACTTTAAATTGCAACTCGAGAGCCCAACCTTATTGCTCCAGTAAAAGACTTTCAGTAACTCACATTGTGCCTGAGATGTGGTTAAGTGTGTTGCAGTGTGTAACACCAGTGCTAGAGTCAGACTGCCTGGGTTCAAAGCCCAGGTCTTTTTCTCACTAGCTGTGGGAATTCAAGAAAGTTACTATCCTCTCTGAGCTTTCTTTGTGTTAGACAGAGAGAGAGAGAGAGAGAGACAGACAGACAGACAGAATATGAGAATGAATGATAATAACAATAGCACCTGCTTCACAATCTATAATGGAGCATTTAGTACAATGCCTGGCAAAGAGTAGGTGATCAGTAAATGGTGGCCGGTCATTATTAACATCTAAAACAACAGCCATGGAGATATAATGATTGTTCATACATCCCATCCTTTGCTGGAAATTGTACAGAATGCACTCCCAACCATGCAAGAGGACTTCAGGTCTCCATTCACTGGCTGTTCATTCATTTTTGATAGCCTACTATGTGCCAGAAACTGTAGTCAGTGCTGGGGAATCTGGATTTTTTTAATATGCTCCACAGGTGATTCTTATCAGGTAACTTTGAAAAGCACTGATTTTGTATATGTGAGAGAGAAGTGGTGAATAATTCCCTCAGAGCTTATGTTACAGTAAAGTGGGCTGAGCCCTCCTGCCCAAGACTTTAGACTTCAGTCAATTCAGCCTGGTCACTTAAAATGAGAGCCTCTAACAGTGAAATCTGTGGGCCAAGAATCAGAGTAGGCTAGTGTGGAGGATGAGAGATGAAGCAGCAGCCCAGAGGGGCAGAGTAGCCCTTGAGATCCAGCTGATCTCTAGCCTCCATGGTCCTGAGAAACCTCTGCATCCTTTTAACAAGTTATTCCCCAGGTATAAGAAAGGTCCAATACATTTATGTTTAGATACCCCCAACCAGAAGAAGATCAATGCGTGGATTCAGGGATGATCACAGGTGGGAACCAAGCTCAATGTATTACATAAATGAACATTCTGATAGCCCTGTAACTATGTCAAAAATGTCATCTGTTAATCCCCAGAACAATTATAGCAGTTGGAGCTTTCAAGTCCATTTTACACATGTCAAGACTGAGGCTAACAGAGGCAGAGCAGAAATTTGAACCCAAGTATATCTGGCCCCAAACTTGTGTTTTAGCATTGTACCTTTTACTATACAAAGACAGAGGTCATCGCCCTCCTTCAGCAGCCGAAGTGAGCGTGACTCCATACCTCCCTTGCCTACTTAGAGTATTTTCATTTGCACCTACTCAATTCCAGGCACTGTCTCTAGCTATTGGGGTTGTGAAAATGAATCGGACACAGATTATGATCACAGAATTGCTGGACTGCAGGGATGTCCGACCTATGATAACAACCTAAAATCTCAGTGCTGTATATCATATGGCTGCCACGGTCCCATAAGGGCCTGGCAGGTTCTTCATCCTGGGATCAGGGATCTGAATGCTTTTATCGTGTAGTTCTACTGTTTCAGAGACCTTCACTTCCTGCTGCTCAGACAAGGAAGCAGCCGGTAATATTGTAGAAAAATTGTAACTACCAAGCCTAGATGTGACAAATATCATTTCCCACCACAGTTTTCCCTGGTAGAGCACATGCAATTGTAACCATCCAGCCAGGCTCTGCTAGAGAAAACAAAGTTGGTGTCCTGTTTCCTAAGAGGTGAGTAGGCTGCAATGTCCTTTCTGCCCTTGACGGTCAATTTATGCAACCAGAGCAGTGAAGTTCTGTACCCACAAGAGACAGGGAGGGCTGGACAAACTCACCTCTGGGTCAAGCTGAAGCCCGCCTTGGCCAAAGCATTTTGCCCTCATCAGACTCCTGCCCGCAGAGCCCCAGTGACAGCTAGAGTGGACACCTCTCAGTGCCCTTCCTTGCCTTCACGCTTTTAGTATGCCCTGACTTCCTCAGACAGGTGCAGCCACTGAAGAATAGGGCTGTTAATCTTCAAGATGAGAGCAACAGAGAGAAGGGCAGCCTCAGTGCAAAGGCTCCTGACTGATTCACAGCCAGGACTAATAACGGTAACTGTACTGCCCCACACTTAAAAGATAAGGCTGCGGTGCTCATCTCTAGCAGATTATTGAAAGCCTCTTCTTTCCTACCCTCAACCTCCCTTCTGTATGCTTACCTCCTCTACCAGATTCCCAGCACCTGAGTATTAAACAGCATCATAGAAGCAGATTTCCCAAACTTGACTACTGACAGGAAGCTGGAAGCCTTGCTTGCTAAATTTGTAGACTATCAGGCTTCTCCCCTAGAAATTCTCTGACAAAGAGCCCAGCAATCTGTATTTTCTGAGAGTTCCAAGTAATTCTTACCCTCGAAAAAGGTTGAAAAACACTGATGTAATGCATGTGGCCATGAAAAATAATTTCTGCATGTTCCCTAGCTTGAAATTATACACATTTTTAACACTATTGCCTTAGAGTTCTGTTAACAACTGATATCTGTGCATTACTTAACAGTGACTTCATTCAAGTCTTGCAATCACCATAGGGGCTAAGTGGAAACTAGGCCTGGAGAAACTTGGTGACTTGTCCAAACTTGTCCAGGAGGAAATGATAACGTTTAGATCAAGCCGAGGCTTTCTGACTCCAAAGCAGGCAGAGCATACTAAAAAAAGCTGTGAAGCTTCTCTGAAATCTCCTCCACCTGGGCCACGTGGAGAGGGGCGAGCAAAGACACAGCTGGGAAGATGGGCTAACAGGCTGGGTGAAAACAGGTGTGACACTGAGTTCTTCTTGTTGGGGTCATGGGAGACTGGAGCACTGGGGGTTACCAAGGAGATCCCAGGACTTGGATTCTAACTACACAGGGTGGCTTGGAAATTATTAAAGGTCAAAGAAGGCAAGGATCCAAGTCCACATCAGTCAGCCAAACTATCAATGACCCCTCCCCCTTAACCAGGCTCTTGGTCTCTGCCGAGTCTACCTTACTTCTGGGTATGAGGGCTTGTGTTTCTAATGGTGCACCTTTACCGAAGCTGCTGCAGCTCCCTCCTTCTGAGTGCTCTTTCTCTTTTGTTTTTTATTTTTATAGATTCAGGGGGAACAAGTGCAGTTTTGTTACATGGATATATCGCATAAAGGTGAAGTCTGGGCTTTTAGTGTGGCCATCACCTGAATAGTGCTCATTGTACCCATTAAGTACTTTCTCATCCCTCATTCTCTCCCAACTTCCCCCCCTTTCAAGTCTCTAGTGTATATTATTTCACCCTCTGTGTCCATGTATACACATTATTTAGCTCCCACATGTCATTGAGAACATGCAGTATTTTACTGTTTCCGAATTATTCCACTTAAGATAATGGCCTCTACTTCCACCCATGTTGCTGCAAAAGATACGATTTCATTCTTTTTTGTGGTTGAGTAGTGTTCCACTGTATACACGTGCAACATTTTTAAATCCAATCACTTATCAATGGACATTTGGGGTGATTTTATATCTTTCCTATTATGAATAGTGCTGCTATAAAATATGGGTACAGGTATCTTTTTGACATAATAATTTATTTTCCTTTGGATAGATAGCCAGTAGTGGAATTTCTAGATCAAATGGTAGTTTTATTTTTAGTTCTTTGAGAAATCTGCATACTGTTTTCCATAGAGGTTGTACTAATTTACATTCCCACCCACAGTGAATAAGCATTTTTTTTTTAGATCCTCGCCAACATCTGTTATTTTTCGACTTTTAATAATAGCCAGCTGACTGGTGTAACATGGTATCTAATTATGGTTTTAATTTCCATTTCTCTAATGATCAGTGGTGGTGTGCATTTTTTTCATATGCTTGTTGGCAATTTGTATGTCTTAAAATGTCTGTTCATGTCCTTTGCCCATTTTTAATGGGGTTATTTATTGTTTTTTATTGTTGTTGTTGGTTTGAGTTCCCTGTAGATTCTGGATATTAGTCCTTTGTTGGATGCTTAGTTTGCAAATATGTTCTCCCATTCTGTAGGTTGTTTGTTCACTCTGTCGACTGTTTCTTTTGCTGTGCAGAGCTCTTGAGTGTAAGTCTCATTTGTCTATTTTTGTTGTTGTTGCATTTTTTTTGAGTTCTTAGTCATGAATTCTTTGCCTATGCCAATATCCAGAAGAGATTTTCCTAGGTTTTCTTCCAGTATTTTTATAGTTTCAGGTCTTATATTTAACTCTTTAATCCATATTGAGTTAATTTTTGTATATGGTGAGAAATAGGAGTCCAGTTTCACTCTTGGGCATATGGCTATCCAATTTTCCCAGCACCATTTATTGAATAGGGTATCCTTTCCCCAGTGTATGTTTTTGTCAACTTTGTCAAAGATCAGTTGGCTGTAGGTATGTAGCTTTATTTGTGTTCTCCAACCTGTTTCATTGATCTATTTGTCTATTTTTGTACCAGTACCACACTATTTTGGTTGCTATAGCCTTGTAGTATAATTTGAAGTTAAGTAATGTCATGCCTCCCACTTCATTCATTTTGCTTAGGCTTGATTTGGCTATTTGGGGTCTTCTTTGTTACATATGAATTTTAGTTTTATTTTTTCTAAATTTGTGAAAAATGAGGTTGTTATTTTTATAGAGAAAGCGTTCAATCTGTAGATTGCTTTGGACAATGTGTTTTTTTTAACAATATTGATTCTTCTGATCCATGAGCATGGTATTTTTTCCATTTTTTTTGTATGTCATCTATAAATACTTTTATCCGTGTTTTGTAGTTTTCCTCATAGAGAACTTTCACCTCCTTGGTTAAATATATTCCTAGGTATTTTGTTGTTTTTGTGGCTATTATAAATGAGATTGAGTTCTTCATTTGGTTCTCAGCTTGATTGTTATTGGTGTATAGAAATGCTAATGGTTTTTGCACATGAATTTTGTATCCTGAAATTTTACTGAATTCATTTATCAAATCTAGGAGTCTTTAGGCAGAGTCTTTAGGGTTTTCTCGGTATAAGGTCATATCATCAGCAAACAGAGATAATTTGACTTCCTCTTTTCCAGTTTGAATACCTTTTATTTCTGTCTCTTGCCTGATTGTTCTGGCTAGGACTTCCAGTACTATGTTGAGTAGGAGTGTTGAAAGTTGGCATACTCGCCTTGTTCCAGTTCTTACAGGGAATGTTTTCAACTTTTCCCCCATTCAGTACTATGTTTACTGTGGGTTTGTCATGTATGCCTTTTATTATTGTGAGGTATGTTACTCCCATGCCTAATTTATTGAGGGTTTTTATCATGAAGAGATGCTGAATTTTATCACATGCTTTTTCTGCATCTCTTTAAATAATCATACAGTTTTTGTTTTAAATCCTATTTATGTGATCACATTTATTGATTTGCATATGTTGACCCACCCTTGTATCCCTGGAATAAAACTTACTTGGCCATGGTGTATTATCTTTTTCATGTGCTGTTGAATTTGCTCAAGCAATATTTTGTAGAGGATTTTTGCATCTATGTTAGTCTGGGATATTGGTCTGTAGTTTCGTTGTTGTTGTTGTTGTTGTTGTTGTTGTTGTTGTTTCCTTGTCTGGCTTTGGTACCAGGGTGATACTGACTTTGTAGGACGAATTAGGGAAGATTCTCTCCTCTTCAATTTTTTGGAATAGGATTGGTACCAGTTCTTCTTTGTATGTTTGGTAGAATTAAGCTGTGAATCCATTTGGTCCTGGGCTTTTTATTTATTTTTTTAATTGGGAGATGTTTTATTACAGATTCAATCTCACTTCTTATTATTGGTCTGTTCAGGATTTCTATTTCTTCCTGGTTCAATCTTGGGAAGTTGTATGTTTCTGGGAATTTATCTGTTTCCTCTGGATTTTCTAGTTTGTGAGCAGAGAATTATTCATAGTAGTCTCTGGTTATCTTTTGTATTTCTGTGGTATCAGTTATAATGTCTCATTTTTTATTTCTGATTGTGTTTATTTGAATCTTCTCTTTTCTATGTTTATCTAGCCAGTGGTCTATCAATTTTGTTTATCTTTCAAAAAAACTTTTTGTTTTATTGATCCTTTGTATTTTTTGTTTGTTTGTTTGTTTGTTTGGTCTTAATTCCATTTAGTCTCCTCTACTCTTTGTTATTTATTCTCATAGCTTTGGGTTTGGTTTGGTCTTGTTTTTCTAGATCCTTAGGTTGTATCATTAGGTTGTTAATTTTTTATCTTTCTATTTTTTGATGTAGGATTTCTTGCCATGAACTTCCCTCTTAGCACTGCTTTTGCTGTATTCCAGAAGTTTTTGTTGTTGTATCTCCATTTTCATTTGTTTAAAAATGCTTTTTATCCCAAATTTGGGGCTGACAAATTTTTTTTAACTACTTTGAAAATAGAACTTTAAATTTGGGGCTGACAAATTTTTTTTAACTACTTCGAAAATAGAACCTTAATCTCTTCTGGTTTATAGGATCTCTGCTGAGAAGTGCACTGTTAGTCTGATGGGGCTTCCTTAATAGGTGACTAACACTTTCGTCTTGCTGATTCTAGGATTTTTTTTTTTTTTTGCCTTCATGTTGATATACAGTCTGATGACTATATATTGTGGCAAGGTCCTTCTTGCAGTGCATTTTCCTGGAGTTCATTGAGTCTTTTATATCTAGATGTCTAGGTCTCTTGCTAGAGTAGGGAAGTTTTCCTCAGCTATTTCCTCAGATATGTTTTCTAAACTTTTTGCTTTTTTTTCTCCCTCAGAAATACCTAAGAGTCATAGGTTCAAACAGTTTACATAGTCACGGGCTTCTCAAAGCCTTTATTCATTTTTCTTAAATTCTTTTTTCTTTTTGTCTGACTGGATTAATTGGAAATACATGTCTTCAAGCTTTCAGATTCTTTCTTCTGCTTGGTCTAGTCTATTGTTGGAGCTTTCAACTGCATTTTGTAATCACTTTCATAAATTTTTCTTTTGTAGAAGTTGTTTTCTTAATAACTATCTCTTTGATAAATTTTTTGTTCACATTCTAAATTAATTTTCTGATTTCTTTGATTGGTTTTCAGACTTCTGTTGGATCTCATTGAGCTTTAAAATAAATATTTTTGAATTCTTTATCTGCACTTCAAAAATTTCATTTTGGTTACTGTCAGAACATACTGTTTTTTCATACTTCCAGAATTATCCCACTGGTTCCTTCTCATCTGGAGAAACTGTGACTACTTATTTTTGAATTTTCTTTCATTTGCACAGAACATTATATTTTTCCCCTTGAGAATGTGACTATAATCTATGTTGAATAAACTCTCTTTGTTCCTCTTTCACTTTCTCTTTCCTTTCTCCTTTCCACTTTCTCTTTCTCTCCCTTTCTTTTTCTTTCTACATCTTTCTCTAGCCCTTTCTCTTTCTCTTTTCCTTTCTCTCTCTCTTTTCCTTTCTTTCTCTTTGTTCTTTCTCTTTCTGTTTCCCTTTCTTTTTCTCTCTTTTTCTATTTCCCTCTCTTTTCCTTTCTTTCTCTTCTTTGCATCTTTTCTCTTTCTATCTTTCTCTCTCTCTTTTCCTTTTTCTTTGCCTTTCTCTTTCCCTTTCCCTTTCTCTCCCCCTTTTTTCTTTCTCTTTCCCTTTCTTTCTCTTTCTCTTTCCCTTTTTCTCTTTGTGTCTTTCCTTTTCTCTTTCTACCTTTCTCTCTCTCCTTCTTTTCCTTTCTCTTTGCCTTTCTCTCATTCTCTTTCCCTCTTTTTCATTCCCTTCTTCCTCTTTTCCTTTCTCTTTCACTTTCCCTTTCTCTCTCCCTTTCTTTCTCTCTTTTTCCTTTCTCCTTCTCTCTCATTCTTTCTCCCTTTCATTTTTTCCTCTTTCTCTTTCTCCTTTCTCTTTCTCTTCTCCTTTTCTTTCTCTTTTTTCTATTAAATCTCTCTTTCTTTCTTTTTTATCTCTCTTTTTTCTTTTTTTATCACTTTCTCTTTCTCTCCACCTTTTCCTCACTTACCTCTCACATACACATGCATACCTCACAGACTCAAATTCTCTTCCAGTGGGATTTCTCTTTCTTGAAATAACACCTTCTTAACACTCACAACTTTTTAATCCACTCTTTTACACACTTTAATACTCTTAATGAACTCTGTCCTTCATTCTTGCATGTATACATATACATATTCACTACCATCACAGGCTGAGGCTCAGGTGGGGGAGGAGTGAGTCATACTCATTGATGTCTTGTTCACTGATGGCACACATGTTTCCTGTCACCATGACCAGCTTTTATCAATATGCCTTTTTCCTCCTTATTGCATGCTTATGGCCCACAGTGCACAGCAGGTATGACTTGAGTCCACCTAACAATCTTTCCATTCAATTCCTGCTCTTCACTGGTTTTCCTACAGATCCAATGGCTAAAAATGTGCTGGAAGAGACTCATACCAATCAAGGGGAAAACAGGGCCCATTACAGCATTAGCCATGGCTGTGTGTGCTTTGCTGAGCAGTAAGGGCATCTCAGCTCATGAATCAATATAGTACAAGTTTCTCCAAGGCTAGACTATTCCTGTCTGGTACATTTTCCTAATAAAACACCTCACACTGTGTCTTTGCTAAATGGCGATTGTGTTGATGTCTTAGAATTTTGGCTAAAGCTCAAAGCTGAAAGGTGGCCACAAGTGAGACCTGGATCTCTTAGTTCATCCTAAACAAGCTTTCAGAGTCAAAGTAAGAGTTTCTTTGTTGTCTGCCTGGCAGGAAATGTGTGGCATCCTCTTTTGCTCTCCATGGCAGGGTCATAGGGTGTGTACTTTGCCTCACCACAGCCCCCAGGGAGCTGCCTATGACTGCAGAGTGGAGAAGGACAGCCACAGTGCAAGCAAGCTCCACTTCCTCAGAAGGAAAGGCAGGGGTGTAGGTTTCCCTATGGGTTAAGGTAACTTCACCAAAAGTTGCTAAGCTGCAGTCATCTTGAAAAAACCCCTGCAAAGGAAGATTGCCCACAGACTGAAGAGATTTCAGTGGGAAGTCTGGAGATGTTTCCTCTGAGCAAGAGCTCAGGGAGGTAGAAGCAGATTATGACAGCCAGCTAGAGAATGTATCAACAACTTGGGAGAGCTGTGCAGTGTCAGAGATCTCTGGGAGGACCAGGAATGTGGCTTGAAGGACTCATAGAATCTCCTTGAGCATGTGGGCCATCACCACACACAAAGCATCAGGTCCCATTATGCCAGCAGTTGTCAAATAAGATCTCCTTCTCGCTTTTCCTCCTCACTTATCTAGAAGCAGTAAGTGAGTAGAGAGGAGGGAGCAAAAGCCAGGAGACAGAGTCAAAAACAGACCACATCTCCCTTCTCCAAGGCAGGAAGCTGAGCCTGGGTCTGTCCTAAGCTAGGCAGTAGAGGACAAATAGAATCTGGTAAAAGAGTGAAGTTTTAATTTAAATCATATTGAGCTTTTTAATACTCAAAAAATGAGACTATTCTAATGCCTGCTATTACAAAAAAAATCTTCTATCTTTTTTTGAAATGCTTTCTAGTAATAGAAAAGGGGTTCCCAACAGAACTGGTTTGAAGAGCAGTGGCAGTGGGGGTGTCAATAAAGTTATTCTTGGATTGTATTCTACCAAGTTCATTCAACATATAGGTAAGTTATACTTACAGTTCAGATGTGCTCAGATGTAAGGCATGCTAGAATCTTGGTGCAGGATGTGCAGGATGGGGGCAATTGTTAAATGTGGACTCTGAGCTGGGAGGAGAAAAACAACCAGAAGTGGGAACAGAGAGAAGGGTCTGGGGATGCTAACCTGTTTCCGGACAAGTATGTGGCCCCCAGCCCAGATCTGAAAGTCTGGTTCTCCACATACCTGTGTTGGGTATTCTGACTATTTGGGAGGATGACCCAACAGTAAGGTCCAAGATTCAGAGGCCAAAGAGCTCAGGAGCCAATAAGTGGTATACCTGGCTCTGGAAGGTCCCTGCCAATGGACAGGGGGCTGAGTACATTCCATCATGCAGGAGAGGGACAAAGGGAGTTAAATAGAATATCTGGGTTCCAACAAATTCACTGAGGTTCAGGAAGAGACATCCACCCAAAGATAAGAATGGAGAATTAGGAAGGTAACTAGTAAAGTACAAGGCAGGAACCAGTCCTGTGGTGTGAAAGGAGGCAGAAGGGCTGGTTAAGCAAGGAGACTCAGTTCCATGAGTTTGCTTCCCAGGAACTGTTCCCCTATGACCCCCTCTCTGCTTAGCCCCGGCTGAGTTAAAATCTCTTCTTTGATTCTTATCTTACTGTCAAGCAATTTTCCCTTACTTTCCTATCTCCTTCACAGGGCCTAGAGGAGAACTTACCTGGGAGCAAGGATTCAGTAAATGTTTCATGAGTGAGTGAATCAATGGATGGATTAATGAATGAATGGATGGATAAAGAGCTACATAAGTGCCTTGGGCTAGCTCCTGGCAGTGCATACGTCCAAAGTTTGGTTAGCAATGAACAGGCTTTAGCAGGTAGGCTAGGGGAGGAAGGTGCCAGGGAACCTAGTGAGAAGTTGCTGGGGAAGGCAGAGGTCAGGGAAACAAGATGGCAGTGGATATTGTGCCCTTTCTGCAGTTTTCCACAACTGACCTTGGAGTGTTTGCAGTACAGAGGCCATCACAATGCAAGTATATCTTCTATATTAAATAAGTCATGAGCAGCCATTCATCAATGGTGCCAGGCACTGTGGCACTACAACTTGTAGGTAGAGAAACCACATCCAAAGGGGCATATGATCCAGCTCCTGCTGAATCCGTTCCCAATGAATCACAGCTACAGAAGAATAATGTCATTTGGGAACATATGCTAAGAACACCTTCCCAATAAAATTCTTTAAATTAAAAGGCAATGTTTAAATCAGGGTGAGCATATCAATATCAATGAGATGCAATTGATTCCAACTACCTGAGGGGGAAATCAGGCCCATATTACCATGCATAGCCATATTACTGCAGTAAGTCAAGCCGGACAGACAAAGGGAGAGTGGTCAGACACCACACCCCACACAATTTCAGATCTCTGAGCCCTATGCCAAGATTCTGCCAAACCGTATGGCATCCAAGAGATGGGAGTTAGATAGGAAAAGCATATGGCTAGGGTTGGAAAGGGAGGGGTGCAGTGGGGAGGAATTGCACAAGAAACAGACTTGCTTTTCCAGAGGAGGTCTGCTTCAGCATCAGACTGTTGAGGCAAAAATATGCTGTTTGAAACAAACAAAAAAAAATGTCCTTAGTATTGCCTTTTAACACCAGGAATTGTGCACTGAAGGGTGGGCCACAAACAGCTTATACCCTGCGCACTCACAAAGTGCAGACGTGCAGATGGGTGCACACAGGGAAAGTAACCCCAGGAGTCCAGACCCTCTTGGGTGCTGTCAGAGGCATCTGGCAGAAGTAACTTGATTACTTGATTCAAGACCCACATTACATGTTTTGCAAGTATAATTTTTTTATTATTTCTTTGGGGATAAAAAAAAAAGTACACACATAAAATTTTTAGCATATTTTTAGTGTGTTTGCCAACTGCTACATGGGGGAAGGGTGTCAGATTTGGATCTTTAAATTCTGTATTTTTAAAGTGGTCATAAGTATTTAAAAATTAAATAAAAGAAAAGAAAGCTATCACAGAAAGCTAAAAGGATATTACTACTTGGTGAGGAAAAGCCAATCTAGGAATTTCCGAAGTGGATGAATATGAAGCTTAGAGGGAACTGGGTCAAGCATTGCATATCCAAGCAACAGCCTGCCTTTCCATATTTAACATGAGACCAGGCCATAAATCTAACAATAGTTAGACACTGTGTGCCCAAGGGCATTCCTTGGTTCAATAAGATATGTGACATTGAGCAAGTCACCTTCTCTCAAAATTAATTAAGAGTCTTGGAAGACCTGCAATATGCCTGCTACTATGCTAAATTTCATAACCATGCACTTTTGAAAATCCTCACCACAGCTGCAAGGATGTAGAAATTATTATTCCCAAATTCTGAGTGAGAAAACTATGGCTCGGAAAAGTTTTATAACCTTCCCAGTGTCACACGGTGTCCTGGAACATCAGGACTGGCCAGGAGATGGAATGTCTAAAATCAGGGAGAGCAGTGTGAAGCCAGGAAACCAGCAGAGGGAAGAGAGGAAACCAGAGCAAAGCAACAGCTGGGATCTTGCCCAATCTGGCCTCATTTTCCCCTTATCCACCTGTAAGGCTGACTTCTTACAAGCCACCTTGAAGATTCTAAAAAGCTTCTGACACTCAGGAAAGCTGATTCAGGATTCAAATACAGGTAGTGATGATGATGATGATGATGATGATGATGATGATGATGATAACAATGATGATTGATGGTAAGGATGATGATGGCAATTATAAATAAAAGCAGTACCATATATTGAGCTCCTTCTGTGTGCCAGACATTGTTAGGTACTTTAAATCCTTTATCTCATCTTGTTTTCACTATAACTTGGTGAGGTAGAGATTATGATCATCCTTCATGTGACAGATGAAGAAATTGAGGCTCAGAAGAGAATGGGTTCCCTAAGGTAACACAGCTAATAGGTAGTAAAGCTGAAACTCAAACCCAGGCCTTGAAACTCCAAAGGCCATGTTCTTAATCAGTATACTTGATGGCCTTCTCACAGCAATTTAGCCACAAGCCCCCAGGGAGAAATTTGACCAAAGTAATTCCTGAGGTTCCATGCAGAAATGAAATACTATCACCATGACTTTGTATTTTCACTACAAATACATCCAAACTATGTTTGTCTTTTAAATTTCAGTAATTTTTGTTTTTGAACAGTTTTTCATTTTATGGGTCCAAACTCGAAACCCTTTCTCTTATAATTATTTTTCTATGACTTCAATACTTGGTAAGGTATTCTGCTAGAGGGGAAAAAATAACAACTCTCTTTTACTTTAATCTGTTTTCTGACTGTACATTCTTTAAACTCTTGAGTCCATCTGGAATTCATTTTTATGTATGGTAGTAATCAAATTTTAGATCCACTGACCTAGCTAACACTATTTCTGACAAAAGCCTCCTTTATTGCCTCTTCCTGCAATTATTATCACATGATAAGTCATTCTTGTTTCAAAGCTGAAGTTTTCCAAATGCTTTTCCAATTGAGTTCCTGCCAATACATCTGTGAGTCTCAATAATCCTAATCTATGTATAGGCAATTCTACATTAAACTTTTTGGCAAATGAACTTGACCAGAAAGTGACTGGCTAAGATGATAACTTATAGCAGATATCTGATGTTCCCACATTCAAATTTTCAGGAAATATGACAAATAAACTTTAGTTAACACTCCATTAGCAATGTAGACTGACCCTGCTGAAGACCACTAAGACTGGCATTACCCAGGGCATATACAGCATTTAACAGACAGCTGATTGGTGCTAATTGCTGGTCCACTGGAGGACAGTCAAAGTGGTCCCATGGAGGTAAGATGCCCCAAGTAAAAAACAGTAAAATCACCATATCTATGACATAAATACATAGCACTGAAGGTCAGAAGAACCATTTTCTTTAAAAAAAAAATGCTCTTATGAAATAGATTTCCTCCAAGAAGCAGGACAAAACGTGCAACATTCATGAGTCTTATTCTCAGCAAGATTCAAGAACATATTGCACCTATGAAACTAAATCAAAGTCATGAAGAAGTCACAATCTGACATCAGGAAAGACTGGGTAAAGATGAAAACAAAACTGTGGAATTAAAGTTGTAATGAAAGCAGGTAAATACTACAGAATATCAGATTACCAAAGTGGAAGATAAATGAGAAACACAAAACTCTAAGCAGGAAGATAAACATATTTTGTTAAACATAAGAAAAGAGGAGAGACATGGAAGATATAGTGAAGAGATCTAATCTACATATGACCCTCATGTCTACAATATTCTAGCTTTTTTAAATAACAGCTTTATTGAGATATAACTCATGTACAATTCACCCATTAAAGTGTACAATATAATAGATTTTAGTATATGTACAGAGACATCCAACCATTCTCACAATCAGTTTTAGTATATTTTCATCACTCCAAGAGAAACTCCATATCCTTTATTTTACTTTTAAGTTCAGGAGTATATATGCAGGTTTGCTGTACATGTAAATTTGTGTTAAGGGAGTTTGTTGTACAGATTATTTCATTACCCAGGTATTTCGCCTAGTACGCATTAGTTATTTTTCCTGATCCTTTCCCTCCTCTCACCCTCTACCTTCTGATAGGCCCCAGTGTGTTTTGTTCCCATTTATGTGTCCATGTGTTCTCATCCTTTAGCTCCTACTTATAAGTGAGAACATGCAGTTTTTGGAAACCCCATATCCTTTAGCATAGAAACACCTCATCTCCTTTCAGCCTTAGATAACCACGAATATCTTTTCTGTCTCTGTGGATTTGCCTACTCTGACAGTTTATATAAATGGAATTATGTGGTCTTTTGTAAATGGCTTCTTTTATCTAGCATAATATTTTTGAGGTTCATACCCATCGTGTATGATATGGTTTGGCTCTGTGTCTCCACACAAATCTCATCTCAAATTGTAATCCCCACATGTAGAGGGAGGGATCTGGTGGGAGGTGATTGGATCATGGGGGCAGTTTCCCCCATGCTGTTCTTGTGATAGTGAGTTCTTATGAGACCTGATGGTTTAGAAGCGGCAGTTTCCCCTGTGCTCTCTCTCTCTCTCCTGCCACCATGTAAGACGTGCCTTACTTCCCCTTCCCCTTCCACCATGACTGTAAGTTTCCTGAGGCTCACCCATCCCTGTGGAACTGTGAGTCAATTAAATCTCTTTTCTTCATAAATCACCCAGTCCCAGGTATCTTTATAGCATTGTGAGAACAGACTAATACATGCACATCAGTGCTTCATTCCTTTTTATGAACAAATAATATTATATTGCATAGATATACCACATTTTGTTTTTTATTCATCAGTTGGTAGACACTTGAGTTGTTTTCACCTTTTGGCTCTTATGAATAATCCATTATAAACATGCATGTACAAGTTTTTTGTGTTTTCTTCATACATATATTTCCATTTCTCTTGGGTATATACCTAAGGGCAGAATTATTGATCATACAGAAACTCTACATTTAAATTTTTGAAGAATTGAAGGACTTTTCCAAAGCAGCTACACCATTTTATATTCCCACAAGTAGTGTGTGAGTGTTCCAATTTCTTCATATTCTTGTTATTATCTGTATTTTTAATTATAGCCATTCTAGTAGGTAGGTATAGTGTCTCACTATGGTTTTGATTTGCATTTCCCTAATGACTAAATTACTAATGATGTTGAGCTTCTTTTCATGTGCTTGTTGGCCACTTGTATATCTTCTTTGGAGAAATCCTTTATCCATTTTTAATTGTATTTCACTTTGTATTATTGAATTGTAACAGCTCTTTATATGTTCTAAATACAAATGACAGAAATATGATTTGCAAATATTTTTCTTCCATTCAACTGATTATCTTTTCATTTTATTGATGGTGTCCTTTGAAAACTTTTGAGGCACAAAGGTTTTTCATTTTGATGAAACTATATTTTTCCTTTTGATGCTTGTGCTATGGGTGCCATATTTTAAAACTCATTGACAAATCCAAGACTGTGAAGATTTACACCTATGTTTTCTTTAAGATTTGTGTAGTCTTAACTCTCACATTTAGGTCGTTAACCTATTTTAGAGTTAATTTTTGTATATTGTATGTAGTAAGGGTTCAACCTCATTCTTTTGCATTTTCATACCCAACGGTCCCAGCACCACTTTTTAAGTCACTGTGTCATTTAATTGCCAAGGGAAATAACTTAAAACGGCAACCCACATAGCTATAGAAAGTTCAGTGCCATCACCAATATTTTTTTCCTTAGTGTCCTGTCTTCATTGTTTTGCAGCAGAATGTCCAACATAAAACATAATTACAAATATTTGGCTATTCAAAAGAGGAACTAGTGGTTAAGTGCAAATCGGAGACATGATTCTTTTGTTTTAAATAAATACTTGAACACAACTCACATCCTATAAGCATCTAGACTCCAGGTCTGAATAGTGGAGCTGCCTCGCCTGTGGGCCTACAATGACATCATGATTCCTGTCCCCCCATCACCCCCTCAGTAATCAATACATTGCTATAATGAACTACCTGAGACTGAGTAATTTATAAAGAAAAGAGGTTTAATTGGCTTATTGTTCCACAGGCTGTACAGGAAGCATGGCTGGGGGGCCTCAGGAAACTTAAAACCATGGCGCAAGGTGAAGGGGAAACCAGCATGTCTTGCTATGGGGAGCAAGAGAGAGAGAGCTAAGGGGGGAGTGCTACATACTTTTAAACAACTAGCTCTTGTGAGAACTCACTCACTATCAAGAAAATATCAAGGGGGAAATCCTTTCCATGTTCCAATTCCCTCCCACCAGGCCCCACCTCCAACACTGGGGATCACAATTCAACATGAGATTTGCATGGGGACATAGAGCCAAGCCATATCACATAGAATCCAGTGCCAATGGGTGATAACAATGAGCTCCTTTTCTAGAGCCTTCTCCATCCTTCTACAGAGATAATCTGGCCAGGACAAAGGTAATTGGAATTTCTTGAAGGTCAATGGTCCCTAACAGTGTTTTCTGATTTACTGTTCAAGATTCTCTTGGCTCCCATGCTTTCAAAGAGATAGAGGCACCTAGATGACTTTCATCGTTAGAACCAGTATGAAGGCTCACTCCATGCCTCTGAGGATGTTAGACCATGCGCCCTTGAAGAAGGCTTTGCTCTCTTCGTCTTTCAAGATCTTCGTCCAACAATCTAGGATCCCCATGTACCTGACATCAGCTCCTTTGTGCCAGCACTGCATCATCATCCACCTCCACACAGTATTGAATGGTTACGATGCCACACTAGATCATGGCCATCACGTCTGGGCAATCATCCAGTTCACCACGATACAAGTGTTCTTGAGGTCAGGGAGTGCACCTTTGGCTGTATTGTACACACTGAGGGAGGTCACCAGGTAGATGATGGTGCCCGGCCTAAGACACTAAGCTTTGATAGAGGCCCCAGATCCCATCAGACTTGGTAATCTTCCCCAGAAAATCTCCCAGGCCTTCGAGCTCCCACGTTGTGCCCAATTTCCTGGCTGCCAGATGGGTTCTGGAAAAATCCAGGGGTAGATAAGGCAGTGAGAGGAGGCCTGGGCTGCCCCTCCAGAGTCCAGGTTCCTGAAAAATACCTTCAGAACTGCATGTGCTTGTCCACACGCCCCCTCCTCCCCGCCGCCCCAGGAAGACCTACTTGTACTTATACCTGAAGGCAAAGTTGAGGACTTAAGTGGGAAAGTAGCGAATGGCATTGGCCAGATTGCCCACCCAGAAGAACAGCACACCCTGCTCCTTGGGTATACGGACCATGCAGTCCATGATGCCATTGACCCACTTGTCAGGCATGATCTGCTCACTGGCACGTTGCACCTGCAGCAGCAGCTTGACCCACTCGCTGGGGGCCACAGCATCATGGAGATGGCTGCAGTGAGGCATCCAGCCAGGAAGTCCTGGGCAAAGGAGGTGGCCTGATCTGTCATGGCAGCCCAGAGGGCGGAGAGCCACAGAGTGGGCAAGGAGAGCACAGGGAGGGTGCTGATGGCTCAGCTCTGCTGCTTCCCATACCAAAAGGCCATTAGCAATATTTTTAAGGTTTCCTGCAGTGGAGAAGTGTGTTCATACTATCTTATCTTTCATTCCAAACTCTTGCTCCTGAGTGAGTCTTCTCTATCACAGATGCTGTATGGCTCAGAAAGTGACACCCGTGAACTGTACACAAAGACGCAAAGGAAGTCAAAGAAATGCCTTCTAGTTCACTTTCCTCCAGAAAAAAGAAATCCCAAGTAGGTCTTTCCCACATATTCGCCCTGGCTGGAGCCATGTGTGTAATGTGTGAACAACGTTACCACTGGAGCCACAGATGATGGCACCAGGGAAGCGAAGGTATGAAGGAGACAGGGAACGTTTAAGATAGCTTGATACACACACTACTTAAGAGGTGCATTCCATATAAGCAGGAGCAAACTGACCCAATTGAATTCTCTATTTGGGGAATTGTAAATGCTTCCCCTGATTTTATAAAATTAATGAAAACTAGATTACCATAACTGATCATCACCAACTACGTTTTTGTCAAAGGCAAGATACTCTTGATAATGCTAAGTTTTCTAGTAAAACAAGAATAATATTTATGTATTTTATGTTTTATCACTTTTTTCAGCATTTATTAAGGCAGTAATAAAGTCATTTTTAAGGGTCTTACTGTGACTCTATGGCTATGATGTCTTATTGTAATAAACTCCTAAAAGTAATCTTTTCCTTTATGGAATAAACTATTTGGTTCTGTTGTGTCATCTTTGTTCACTTTTTATTTTTTTAACATTTAAAATTCACAAGATTGGTCTATATATTTCCTTTTCATCCATCCCCATTGAGAATATTTAAATTATGCTACTTTTCTTTCTTTCTTTCTTTCTTTGAGACGGAGTCTCACTCTTGTCACCCAGGCTGGAGTGCAATGGCGTGATCTCAGCTCACTGCAACCTTCACCTCCCGGGTTCAAGCGATTCTCCTGCCTCAGCCTCCCCAGTAGCTGGGATTACAGGCACGGGCCACCACGCCCAGCCAATTTCTGTATTTTTAGTAAAGACGGGGTTTCACCATGCAGGCCAGCCTGGTCTCGAACTCCCAATCTCAAGTGATCCACCCACCTCAGCCTCCCAAAGTGCTGGGATTACAAGCATGAGCCACTGCGCCGGGCAATTACACTACTTTTGAATTGGCTTTAAACTCACCAGGTTCCACATTCTAGAACCAATGCAAATGATATGGAAATATTTCAATCCTTGTCAATTGGGAAAGAACATAATCATCTCCAGCCTAGAGTGTGGTGGGGGAGTTCTTTTTGAGATTTAATTTTTTTTCTTCAAGAAACCCATCCATTTCTTGGGGAATCGCTAATTCACTATTGCAATTGTCCACATTACTTAAATTTTTAATATTCTGCATATTTATCATTATATTACTGATCTGAACTATACTTTTATATACATTTTTGTCCACTTTTAACTTGATTAAAATTTCCAGAACTTTGTTTTTTAAGAACCAGTTTTTTTTTTTTTTTTTTTTTTTGAGACAGGACCTCTGTCACCCAGGCTGGAGTGCAATGACTCAATCATAGCTCACTGCAGCCTCAATTTCCTGGGCTCCCACCTCAGCCTCCTGAGTAGCTAGGACTACAGGCATGTACCACCAAACTTGGCTAATTTTTTTATTTTTTATTTTTAGTAGAGACAGGTCTTGCTATGTTGCCCAAGCTAGTCTGGAACTCCTGAGCTCAAGCAATCCTCCTGCTTCGGCCTACCAAATGCTTAGACTACAGGCATTAGCCACCATGCCTGGCTAAGAACTAGTTCTAATAATTATTTATAAATTCTACTGTTTTCTATTTTTGAACTTATTTACTTATAATTCTTTATTTGTACTTTTTAAAAATTAGTATTTCATTTATTTTCTAGCTCCTATGTGTAATATATATGTACTGAAAACTTTAATCATGTATGTTTCTATCTTGATCTTTATAAACAGATATTTATAAAGGTATACTAATCTGTGATTAAATCCAAATATCCCATGAACAGTTGAAAGGATATATTTCTGTTTGCATACTGTTACTATAATGATATTAACTAAAATATTTAATTGTATTATTAAATTACTTCTGTTTAACATAAATAATGTGTTGAAATTTGTTATTCTCGTCTTATACTTCCAATTTTTTTCTATGTTTATTTCGATGCTATTTCTTAGCACATAAAGTTTCATTACCATCAAATCTTCACTCTCAGTGTTTCTCACTGTGTAGTCCTTGGACCAGCAGTATCAGTCTCACCTAGGAATCTGTTAGAAATCCAAATTCTCAGGCCCCTCCCCAGACTTAAGGAGTGGGAAACTCTGTGAGTGGGGCCCACTAATCTGTTAAGAGGCCTCTAGCCGATTCTGGTGTACACTTAGAGAACCACTGATCTATTTCAAAACTTCCAGCAATGTAAAATGATTCTAAATGACTCAATTAATGATTACTATGACCACGCTGCTTTCTTTTTCTTTTCTGTTTTTCTAATATGGTTTTGCCTTCTAATTTTATTGTTTTTTATGTAATTTTTGTTTAGGGATATCTAGGAACATAGCAAATCATTGCATTTATTTTATGATCAAGTTAGAGAATGTTTAACCTTTTTTAATGGAAAATTTAAACCATTTACATTTATTCTCATTCTTGTTAACCATGGTCTTTCTAAGCCATTTTATGCATTCTGTATGTGTGTTTTTTTAATATTCCCTTTCCATTCTAATTTTCTCTATAAGTCACACTTTGTTTTAATCTTCTGCAAATATTTGGAATTCTGGTAAATTGCATCTAAAACTTTAAAATCCATGTTTAGTTATCAAATACACAGACTGTCATTTTTACTCTAATCTATTGGAAATGTGGAGATTAGCACTGGCATTTTCTCTTGCCCTGTAGTCTTTCCTTTCTACCTTCCTTTATTTGAATAAAATTTTATTGAATAAAAATTTTGAATTCTGATAATATTCTCTTTTAAATTTATATAATATGTATAATTTCTTTACAAATAACCTTTTGCCTTCTGTGTAACCACATCTATCACTATTACTTAAATTATATCTATATGTTTAATATAGTCAATGCTCATGCTCACTGTAATTTAATTCACATCTTAATAATCTGAACAATTCATGACTAAGTTGTTGAGCACTATTATGTAGGTGTATATTTTTCAAAACATTTCTCCAGACACCAAACATATCAGACAGTGTCTTCCTATTCTCATCACATAAGAACCACAACATTCTCCAGTAAGTTCTATATGCATCACTACATTGTTTTCTGGCTTTTAGCATTGACAATGCTTTTTGCTCATTTGTCAGCAACCAATTTCTTTCTTCTCTGTTCAGGATGCCTGTAGAATTTGTTTCTTTTTCTTTGAAATCCAATTTTTTTAAAGACATTTTTCAATTCAGAAAGACTTTTCTTGCCTTTTTCTTTGTTTATTGCCTGTACTCCATTTGTTATGGATCCTTTTTCTAGAATACCTACTAAGTATGAAGTGAATTTCTGCTCTCTATTGCTGATAGCTGCTATCTTCTTTCGTATTGCTTGAATATCTTTGCCCTTTTCCTCTGCACTCTGAGAACATTTAAAGTTCATCTTCTACCTGATTTAATTGCTTTTTTTCTTCTTCTTTTTTTTTTTCTTTTTTTTTGAGACAAAGGCTCACTCTGTTGCCCAGGCTGGAGTGCAGTGGTATGATCTTGGTTCACTGCAACCTCTGCCTTCCGGGTTCAAGCCATTCTCCTGCCTCAGCTTCTCAAGTAGCTGGGACTAAAGGCACACGCCGCCATGCCCAGCTAATTTTTTGTGTTTTAGTAGGACGGGGTTTCACCGTGTTGCCCAGGCTGGTCTCGAACTCCTGAGCTCAGGCAATCCGTCTGCCTCGCCCTCCCAAAGCGCTAGGATTACAGGCGTGAGCCACCACGCCCGGCCTAATTGCTTTTTTATGGTAGTGTGTCTTCACTTTCTTTATCCACATGTGGATTTTATTTTAGCTACTACATTTTTTCATTTCTATGCATCATTTTATGTTCTTACCCCCCATTCCCACCCCCCCAAAACAGCCTGGTCAGTTTAATGGAAGAAAGTATCCTTTTTTAAGGAATTGATATTTTTTTTAATGGTTTCATTTACTTGCACTAAATCTATTTCAGAGGAAAGTGAATTTGCTTAGTCACAGTACATTACCATGCTTCTCTTGTGCTACAGAACTTTTCCATAAACCTTGTATTGATTTTTCTATATTCTCATCTTTATGAAGGACATATATACTAGCCCAGTATTGAAACATTGCCAAGAAAGAATTGTTCTGGGACTAGTCAAAGATTGGGTGAGGGGCAGTGGGAGAGGGTGCTCTCCCAATTCCTTTACGTTCCCAGCTTCAGCTCCAAAGGCGGAAAGAGTTCCAACAGGTTATAAATGCACACACACACACACACACACACACACACACATATATATATATATATTTTTTTTTTTGAGACGCAGTTTTGCTCTTGTCACCCAGGCTGTAGTGCAATGGCATGATCTCGGCTCACTGCAATCTCCACCTCCTGGGTCCAAGCAATTCTCTTGCCTGAGCCTCCCAAGTACCTGGGATTACAGGCGCCCACCACCACACTGGCTAATTTTTGTATTTTTATTAGAGACAGGATTTCACCATGTTGGCCAGGCTAGCCTCGAACTCCTGACCTCAGGTGAACCACCTGCCTTGGCCTCCCAAAGTGTTGGCATGAGCCACCACACCTGGCTAAATGCATATATTAAATGACCTAGACAGTAGCAGAGCTACCTTCGGGAAGTGCTGGAGAGTGGAGGGGTACCTCTAACATCTAAAGGAACCAAAGACAGAAAAAGGCCTCATGCTGTGCCCTCACTGAATATATCCCTGGCCCCACAGTATTTTAGAGCAGGAGTAAACTAAAGCCCAGAGAGGTCAAGCCATCTCTCCAGCTATGCCATAGTCTGCACTTGAACCCAGGTGCCCTGACCTCCACATTCAGGTCATCACATGTGACCACACCAGCTGTGCACTGCACATCCAGGTAGCTCCATTTACAGCACTACAATGCAAAGGGCGCCCCTAGGGTTGTGCACTGTGGCAGCCTAAATTCATGGATCTTATTTTTAAATCTCCATGGAATTTTCTCTGTTCACTTATGGCCTCTTTATCATAATATACACTTTTCATTTTATGAGTACGTTATCTTGAATAATTCACATTCTTCATAATCCTTTTAAAGTTCCCTTATTTTCCCTAAATTGTCCCCATTTTCTCTGGGGTCAGTTCTGTTTGTTCATTCTCATTTTATGCTGCTCACCCTCTTCACGAGCCTGGTGAGCACTGGCTCTCCATTCACATTTCTGCAGAATGGTCTATAGGTCAAGCTTGTTCAACCCCCGCAGCCCGCAGCCCGCAGCCCGTAGGATGCATGCAGGCCAGGATGGCTTCGAATGCAGCCCAACACAAATTCATCAACTTTCTTAAAACATTATGAGATTTTTTTTTTTGCAATTATCTTTTTTTAGCTCATCAGCTATTGTTAGTGCTAGTGTCTTTCATGTGTGGCCCAAGACAACTTTTCTTCCAATGTGGGCCAGGGAAGCCAAAAGATAGGACATCCTTGGTAGGTTAATCAATGAAGAGAGATGGGTTTATGTTTGCCCCTCTAGTGAGGGGAGTGAATGTGGGCTTTCTCTCTGTAGGGGAAGTGTGCTCACTAGAAGGTATCTCTTCCTGGTGTGAGAAAGCAGAACAGGTAGGTGGCACTGTCTCTGACATCCTCTGACCTCAGAGCCTATATTAAGAAGACGGTCTTATGGACTCCAACAATCCATATTGTGGGGCCTGGCCCCTTGCATGCAGATTTCTCGATTACTTTAGAAAATACTGATTTCCCTTCAGCCTTAGATGGGAAGAACACTCATTAGTAGCCAGAGGGGCTTTAAAATCTGATCAAGGCAGCCATCCTAGAGATAGTTTGTTCCTTATCTCCAGGTTGGCCACTCCCCCTACTTTCCGTCTACATTTCTCCACACCATGGACTTCTGGACTTCACTCTTGCTTTCTCTAGGGCAGAACTGAGCCCTGGCCCTCTCTAGTCTGGTTTGCGCATGAGCTTAAATATGATATGCCTTCTGCCTTCTATATTCTAGAAACTCTTCGCCTTCTCCTATGTCACCTTCATGCTCACTTTTTAATAAACTCATTTATTTTCATACCTTCTTACATTGAATTTACTTATTCCTGTTCACACTTTTAAAGGTGGAAGACGTTGAATGTGTGTGCCCAGTCTGCCATCTTGAACCAACAGCTAGGTAAAAAAATATCCAACAGGCTCAAGTCAGAGACAAAGAGCAGCTTGGAATGTTAGAAATATTCTTTTAAGGCACTTTCTAAAGTGCCTCAAAAAATGACTCTTTTTTTCATTCTAAAACTTAAAATTTGTACATTTATATAGTATATCTTCTATATAGATTCTGTAAAAATTCTGTATTTTATATATATATATTTTATATGCTACAAACTCTATAAATTTTATTATTTATTTTATTTTTGAGCTGGAGTCTCACTCTGTCACCCAGGCTGGAATGCAGTGGCGCAGTCTTGGCTCACAGCAACCTCTACCTCCCGGGTTCACGGGATTCTTCTGCCTCACTCTCCCGAGTAGCTGGGATTACAGGCACCCGCTACTATGCCCGGCTAATATTTTGTATTTTTCAGTAGAGACAGGGTTTCACCATGTTAGCCACGCTGGTCTCGAACTCCTAACCTCAGGGGATCCTCTCACCTCGGCCTCCCAAAGTGCTGGGATTATAGGCATGAGCCATCAAGCCTGGCCCAAATTTTATAATTTTATATTTACATACATTTATATACATTTATAACTTATATTTTATATAAACTCTATCTAAAATTCTATATATTTTTAAGCAACATGCATTTTTTACAATGACAAAGGAATATTTTTAAAGGGCATTATACAGTTATTAGAACAGTGGTTTAGAACTCTGTCCCATGAAGACCTGAGGTTTGGCAGAGGTGGCTCAAGGACAAAGAAGGAAGATGAGTGAATTAACTCCCAGTGTCCCTGCCCTACTTCAGAAAAAGTTCTGCCACTTTTATCTACTTTCTATACTTGGGGTTCTATGTAAGGTTTCGGCTGGAAAATGAGCACCAGAGCCTAAAAACTGTTTGAAACACCCTCTATTAGAGAATTCATATTTGGCGTATTCCGGGTTTCTGTGATTTATAAATAAGCTTTGTTGTTTATTTAATAAACACTAAAGAGTTGGCTGCTTCTAACAATCAGAATTTATTTTATTAATTCTCTCTGAGAATGTTTGTCCTCGTTGATTGCATCACAGGTTTCTCCTGCCACCTGGTGGCAACATATGTCTATTGCAGGGGCAATTTCTAAATTTATCTGGTATCTGCTGAAGTTGCAAATACAACTCACAAGGCAATGAAGATTTGGAGAGGGCTTTTTTACATCCATTACAAGCTACAAGGCACTTCTACATCAATTATGAATTATGTCATTTGGTCTTCCCACCCTCCCTTTCAGGTGGGTATTCATATTCTCTCCCATTTTCAGGAGAGGAAAAAGTAGCTCAAAAGCTAAGTAACAAAACAAAAAAAGCTGAGTAACTTACCTCAGATGAAGGCCAGAAAATTATGGGACTCAAACTTAGTTGCAATCTTGTAATGGTTATCAGAGACTGATAGCTTTGTGACAATCTAAAGAGGTTTAAATCTGGAGAGATCGTTGGGCTAGAGGTATAAAATTGACAGTCATCAGAACAGAGGTGATATTTGAAGGCATAGACTGATCAAAACTTGAAGCCATGGGAAATGGCACAAATGGGTGTCAAACCAAGGTGTTGTGAGCTGGTGGCAGCAGATGAGAGGAAGATAAGTGTTTGGTTTACCAGGAAGCTCACATGTGGCCATCTAAAATTGCAATCTGAAGAATGGAAATCTTTGTCCATTGCATGAAAATACATAGTTCAAAGAAGAAGGAAGAAAAGTAGACATAACAGCTCCATCCACACAGTGCAGATCAAACCTGAAATTCAGTGCCCTACTTGTTATGGGAAGCAGATGTGAAAGCAAAAAAATAACAAAGCGTGAATATCCACAGCTTCTTTCCCTGCTTACCCCTTACTCCCAAAAGGATTCTTTCTTGCCAAATTATCCAACTGTCCCTAAACATTTTTTGTGAGTAGTGGGGTAATTAATAAGGAAGATAATACGAGATGAGGAAGAAGATGTCAGAATTTAAAACAGAAAGGGAAAGAACTAAGGATGCAAGGAGAAGAATGTGTGCAGAAAAAGGAAAGTGGGACAGACATGAAGAGAGCCCTTACAGGCTGGGTTTAGAAAAGAGTATTTTGGAGTTTATAGTAGGAGAGAAATGAGGCTTTGGTATTGCAGCCTTGTACAGAAGATGGGTGGATGGAGAGACAGCAAACAGAACTGGGCCCAGCCTCAGGTAGGTCATCAGGCAGAGAAGAGCAGATCATAGAAGCAAGAGATTGGAGCCTGGAGCAAGTCTCAAATCAAGGCAGATGACAAGAGGTGCAAAAAAGGGCCATAAGGCAAAACTCCTGAGAAAAAGCCCAAGACCAGCTTGATTCTGGGGCAAAATCTGTGCCATCCATGATTTACCTGCAGAAACAGAAACCAGACCCTCAGATGGATGGGTCCCTGCCCAAAGATGCCTGAGAAATAGGTCCCCATCCCACTGGATAAAGGAGAGAAGGGAGAGGCTGAATAAAGCTTCCAACACATTCAGGTGCAATTGACAAAACTCTGTCCAGGGCTAAAGGCCCAGCTCTGCCATTTTCTAACTGTTAACCTTAAAAACTCCCCTGGCCTCCAAGATTTCCACACCATCCTCTGCACACACAATGAGTGGAAGTAGCTGGGTGATGTTGAAGGCTCTTCCAGCTCTGACCCTCTGCCTCAGAGTCTCAAAGCATCCCAACTGGTTGCAGGCAAACTAGCTGTCTCCTTCCCCTAGAACAGGTTGGGACTGAGAAAAGCAGGTCTTCCTTTAAGGCTGTGGCTGTTGCTAAGAAGAGTCCCTCCCCACACCCAACCCTATCCTGCAACTTTCATCATCACCATGCGCTTCATGATCGCCTCCCACCTAGTTTGGAGACATAAACTCCAGCACACTCTTTCATGCACCAAGCTCCAAACACATCCTATTCATCTGAGTTCCCCTTGCTCAGCTCAGGGCCTTTGCCCCTACCCAGTCCTCTGTCCACATGGAATGTCACCTGCCAAAAACTCATTCTTTATGCTTCTCAGTAGATTCTATGACAGGAAGGTGCCAGCTCCTTGCTTTCTCAGGCTACCATCTCTGATTCCTTAGAATCCTAGAATTCTGGATCTGACTGGGTTTGGGGTTTCAGATTATAATCTATATGAAGGCTCAATAAATGTTTATTAAGCTACTTATTAAAAGATTTATTAATCTAAATAAGTAATAGGTACATGGATGTATAATTATAATAAATCCAAACACTTCTCACTATATTCATGTCACCATCTTCATCTGTCACTGGATTTTTGTAATAATTCGTAACTGTTCTTTTGACATCTGCTTCCCTTTCTATCTTTCCTCCTATTAAAACCTAAGCTAGGGCCAGGTGCAGTGGCTCACACCTGTAATCCCAGCACTTTGGGAGGCCGAGGTGGGCAGATCATGAGGTCAGGAGTTCCAGACCATCCAACATGGTGAAACCCCATCTCTACTAAAAATACAAAAATTAGCTGGGCATGGTGGCACATGCCTGTAATCCCAGCTATTTGGGAGGCTGAGGCAGGAGAATTGCTTGAACCAGGGAGTCAGAGGTTGCAGTGAGCCGAGATTGGGCCACTCCACTCTGTCATCCAGCCTGGTGACAGAGTGAGACTCCGTCTCAAAAAAAAAAAAAAAATAGCTAAGCCAGGCCAGGCATGCTGGCTCCTGCCTGTAATCCCAGCACTTTGGAAGGCCGAGGCGGGTGGATCACCTGAGGTCAGAAGTTCGAGACTAGCCTGGCCAACATGATAAAACCCTGTCTCTATTAAAAATACAAAAAAAAAAAAAATCAGCCAGGCATGGTGGACAGGAGAATTGCTTGAACCCAGAAGGCTGAGGTTGCAGTGAGCCGTGATCGCGCCATTGCACTCCAGCCTGGGCAACAAAAGTGAAACTCTGTTAAAAAAAAAAAAAACAAAAAACACCTAAGCTGTATTTATCACTTCTCTACTCAGAGCCCTCCAGAGGAAAAGCCACAGGTTTTAGAATGGCTTACACAGTCAGCATGGTTAGGTCTCCTTGCTTCTCTGATCTCTCCCACCATACTCACTCCATGTCAGCCATGCTGGCCTCCTTGCTGGTTCACAAATATGTCCTACTTCTAACTCTTCCATGACTTTGCCTGCCTGGCTAACCCTTCACACCCTCCAATCTCTGCTCCCATGTCACTTTCTCTGGGAGGAGTTTGCTGACCACCATATTTAAGATTTGCAATACGTTCCTCCCTTGGAATTCCCTATCTGCCTCTCCTGCTTTATTTTTTCCATAGTACTTATCACCTTATGATCTATGACATAATTTACTTATTTTATTTACTTTGTGTCTCTCCTAATAAGCCCTTGAGAAAGGATTTTTGGTCTGCCTTGTTCACTGTTGTATCCCCAGTAGTTGGCACTTAATATTTGATGAATAAAATCTCTGGTTCCCAAGTGGTTTGATTCTAGCATAGTGTCTCACTCAAATAAACTAGTCCAGCAGCCAAAAGTAATTTGAACCTTTTATTGTGCTTTTAAGAAACACTTAAGGAGATTGCAGTCATAATCCAAGTGACACATCTTAAAATTTCCTTTCCACCCTTCAGTAATTCTTCAATCCAGCAGCTGCTTCTTCTAAAACCTTCTTTTCCACATCTCTCCCACATGGAGACTTTCCCATGTTCTTTACTTTTCCTTCCCCATGGGCCATTGGCCTCCGTATCCTCACCAGAAGTTACCACCAGGACTTCTGCTTCCACCACCACTGAGCGACGCTAGGATGCCTGGAGGTACCCCCCTCACTTTCTATGGAGGGAAATGAGCAGAGTCCTCTAAAAAGTGAAGTTCTCTCATGTTGAGTGCTTTTCCCAAAGTAATTGCAATAAATCATATTTTTGACAATAGTTTTGTTCCTTTATTACAAATGCAACCTTAGGAAGCAAAAAGCCAGGGACCCCGATATTTTCCCAAGGAGTCACTCTATGTGTTTGTTAGTGGAAATACTTGTACTCTTACTGTAAACTTATCTATGACCAGTTAGGTAGCGGTTAGAGACTTCCCTTTCCTCTAAACTTTGAGAAACTTGACATTTCTGGGGGGTTTAGAGGATGGGGGTCCGGAGGAGCATTACAAGTCACTCGAGGAGAGAAACTGAGTCAAAGCCTCTCTCCCTCTTAAACACACACACACACACAGACACACACAGACACACACACACACCCTGCCCCCATACCCAGGTGCTCACTCTCTGAGGGAGAGGGCTGGCTAACTAGAGAAGCAGATTCCAAGGAGCAGCTAGGCTACAAAGCGTTTGATGCCAGGGACCTGGTCAGCTCAACTGGTGGCCAAGACCCTGGAGTAGGAGGATATAGGCAATCATCTGGAGAGAAACCCCAGGGTGCCAGGACCCCAGAGCTCCTGCCCTGAAATCACAGGGCGTCATCACTGGAGGAGAAAGGGAAGAGCTGGAACCAAAGGTGAGCCAAGCACCCAGGAATTCCCCTGGGAGCAAACCTTGTGCAGCAAAGGAAACTTAAGGAGCTTGAAGGGGTCTGTCAGTGGGTCATGAGGGGTCCCTTGGTCCCAATCAGGCCTGAGGGTCCTGACTCTAAGCATACGAGGCACATACAGTAAAGCTGCTGATAAAATTCCTTCTTTGGTCAAAATGGGCACAAAATCTGGAACAGAATTAAGCCTGCAGCCAGGACCATCAGAGGCACAGCGTGGCCAAAAAAAAATCAATCACTCATTTATTCAACAAAGATTTATTAAGCGCTTACTATTGTCAGGCATCGTCTGCTTGGTGCTGACAAGCTGGTCAAATAGACAAACCCCTATGTAGGAGAAGTCACCACCAGGGAATGTCGCCGTGACTACTCCCATCTGGCTCCTCCAGACATACTGGCCCCACACCGCTGGTGAACTTTTAAAACAAACTTCAGGGAGTATGGTCTGCTTGCACTAGATATATACTTTAACCCCAGAAAAAGTTTAACAACAAAACCAAAATCATAGTGCCTTGAAAAATAAAACAGTGTCGATGGCTGATTTTATTTTTGTTATTTCCTAGAACTCTTTGGCAGCTTACTTAAGATTCCAGGATTCCACAGAGCACAATTTAAAATCCTTTGTCCTCAGTCACGCTGACCTTCCAAAAAAGTGGTGGGCACACACTGTATCCCCCAAGCAGCAGTAGCAGTGAGCTACATCAGAGCAGAGTGAGCCAGGCTTCATTACAGGAGCTCTGAGGCCCGAATTGGGCCTCCCAGAGGGTCCATGTGGATTTATAAATAGACGCAGTAAAAGAGTAAATAATGAATTTGTGCAATTGGAGGGAAAAGCTCCAAAGCAGTTCTGGTGATGGGGAGACAAGCATTTAAAAAGGAGTGCCTGAGCATGCATCTCGCCCAGCAAATGTAATGGCTTCATATACATTCATGAGCTTTGGTCTCCACTCTTCCTCTTTTTTAGTCACAATCATAAAAGACAAAAGAAAAGTGAGAGGGGAGAGAAACATAGATATACTTTAAGGGTATGAATTGCAAACACAACCTACAGTTTGTAAATTGCTTGGAGACCTTTGGAGGGAGAATCAAGAAAATGAAAAGTAGAACATACAGGAATATTGCTGCTTAGGGGAAAGTCTCTGCTCTGTGCATAAAATCTTGTCTAGAGAATGGTTGAGAGGCACAATACTGACTAAATGTGAGATTGCTTTGTAGAAAGAACATGCCTCCTTCTCCACTCTGCGTTCCTCCACCTCTCTCCTGTGGCCACCTCCAAGGTCATATTTGTGGAAGCTCCAAGGTTCTATGGTTTTAGTTATATTCAAAACCAGGGAACTCAGAGGTCCCTGCTATGTGTGTTGGCCTCTGCTGCCTCCAACCCACCCCCACCCCAGGTAGACCCACTGAGAGCCCAGCTGCAGCAAAGTCACACTTCCTGGGTTTATATCCCAGCTCAGCCACTTTTTCTGTAACCTGCACCTTCTTCCAGAAAGGATTCACGGTCAGCTGCAAAATGGCTTTTCAATTTTCTGCATTTATGCATGTGTTGCTTTGTAATTTGGGTAGGGAGATTTATTGATTTTAGAAATAAACATGAAGACACAGACACACAAACACAGTGAGGAAATTGGCTTCTGGTAACCTGACGTCAAGTTATAGTTACATGCTGGGGTCTTGTGCCCCGAAAGGGAAGTGTGTGTTGCTAACTTCAGCTAGAAGGAATGCAGTGGTGCAGCCGAAAAGAATGAGAGGAAGATCACAGACCATCTGCCTTTTCCACACCAGGCTGTGTGTTTAAACCAACAGCGATGGAGCCAGCTCAGCGGGGTCACAGGGCTCTGCTGCCTCTTTCCTGCAAGTGAAACTGACCCCAGGCCCTAGCAAGCTGTTCCGGAGCTGCGGGCTGCCCGAGGAGCTGCTCTTCAGAAGGGAGGCAAGATGAAGGTCATACCTATTTGTGTTTAGCCCTGGCCTGGTGGCAGCTCTGCAAACCCTTGGCTTAGGGCCAGCATGGATAATTACATTTCACCTGCCCAAACTCTCCCGTGGTTTCCCTCAGAAACAGATCCTCTTCCATGGCTGCCATGATCCAGAACATAAATACTCTCTCAAAGGCAGTATTCTACACCTGGGCAACTGAGGTTTTGTTCCTTAGAAGGAAAATCCTCTTGTAACAACACACAGTCATTGCTTTATTCCTTCAGCAAACGTTTATTAAGCGCCTACTTAATAAGTGCTAACCACTGTGCTGGAGATGCAAAGATGAATAAGATTGTTTGTTTGTTTGTTTGTTGTTTTGGCCCTGAGAAGTTCACAGTTTGGTAGGAAAGCTATCAATATCAGCAGTAAATGCCTTTAAAAGTAGAATATGGCCAGAGAACTGCAAAGAGAGATTCTAAATCTCCTTAGGAGAGTCAAGGAAGACTTTAGGATCAGTGATTTTGAAGCTGAGCTGTTAAATAGAACCTCAGTAAGCAGATAATGAGGATGAACATACAAGGCAAAGGGCAAACACATATGCCAAGTAAGGGGCTGTGAAGGAGCATGGCATTGACAGGAAAGGCGAGAGTGGTGGGAGCATAAGGCATGAGACAGAGGAGGCTAGAAACAGAGTCTCTGGTTAGGTTGTGAAGCACTGGGAATCTCATGGTAAGGAATTTGTCTACTGCACTGAAAGGTCTTTAAGCAGTGAAACAACTGATCCATCAGTGCTCCACAGCAGTGTGGAGAGAAGAGTGGGCAAACTCCAGAAGCAAAGGTCAGAAGATGCCGCAAAAATATGACACTACCACACTAAACCCAACAAGAGGTAGTGAGAGCCTGAATGCAGGTGGAGAGAGTGGGAAGGGAGGAGCAGATGGATAGAAGCATTCAGGAAAGGGAATTGACAGATTTTTAGTGGCTGGTTGGGTGAAAAGTGAGAGAGGAGAAGAATTTAGAAGGGAGGGTGGCAGGACTATTAACTAAGATGCCACAGGAGGAAGCAGAGTAGGGGAATTGAGGGGCTCAGGTGGAGATTCCAGAAGGCACCTGGAAATGCAGGTCTGGGCTCATAAACTTCCGTAAGTTTTCTGCAATGACTACAGGCTACGTTTTATCAACAGCTTATCTCTGATGGCTCTAAGCCAGTGATTTTCAAATCTGAGCTTAAGATTCAACTAGAAGGCTTGTTAAAGCAGACTGCTGAGCCCAACCCCAAGAGTTTCTGATTCAGTAGGTCTGGGGTGCCCAGCCTGAGAATTTGCATTTCTAACAAGTTCCCTATGATGCTGATGGCACTGACTTGGAGCCCACACTATGAAAGCCTCTGCTCCAGACTTTTCTGGGGAACATTTTCCCTACTTGATCTAATATCTTTTTAAGGAGGGTAACTAAAAAGGCTGATATAGGTAGAGTGGATTTAAAAAAAAAAATCCCTTTTACCAACAGAATTCTAAGGACCCAGTTCTAACCACTACGAACAAGTGTTTAAATTTGGTGACTGATTAATCTCCCACTTTTATTACTCAAATGACAAGTTTTTTTAAAGAAATCTTAGCCTATAATAATAAATAATTTTTTGAGGGCCTACTATATGCCAGGTTTTGTGCTAAGCACTTTACATACGTTGGTTAATTTAGTTCTCGCTATAACCCTGTGCAAATGAGTACTGTTATAATCCCCATTTCTAAGATGAGGAAACTGAGGCACTGAATGATTACAATTAACCCAAGGTTAAGTTTCCAGCAAATGGCAGATTTACCACAGATTCTGTGTTCAAATGCCACAATATATTGCCGCCTTTATCATCCCATGTTTTGCTCTACAAAATAATCTAGCTTTCTCCAAGACCAAAATCTTGCACATTCCATATACCATTAACCTGCAGTGGTTTCTGTTTTCGAAAATCTGCCATCAGATAGCTGGCAACCACAATGGAGTGTAATAATCATCATTCAGCCTCTTAATGACCCTTGTGCATTGAACAATCAAGAGAATGGAAGGGTCAAGTGGAAGGTAACGCCCTGTAGTGCTATGAATGTGTTGGGTTCTCTGCGATCATGCCTGGGGCATACACAGACATTCTCAGCATATTAGAGTGTAAGAGCCTCTCGCAACATCTGTTCCAACTACATCTCTAGACAGTACATGCAGTATCATCCTTAAAAGACAATTTTCAGAAAGGCTTAACAATTTTTAAGATTTTTTGGCCACCCACAAAGAAGAAAGCAAACAAAGCATACAATTTATGTTCCAGCTCTCTATATAGAATCTAATGGTAGTTATTTAGCCCCTAAGTTACATGCCTAAACTGTGAGACAGAATGTGTCCTATGAGATCACCGGACATCAGAAATTTGTAACCTGTATCCTAGCATCATTTTAATGTAAACTCTTAAAAGCTAGGAAGTGTGACTAAGGCTGCTTGAGGAAGCCGTAGGTACTAGGATTCAGCCACCCCTCCAACCCTTGCTTCTGAGAAATTAAGCCCTTTGAAGAGCATAACTGGGTGCCCTTCTGGAAAAGAGAGGCCTAAGGAGAATTTCAGCATAAGGACCATCCCCAAACTAACCCAGAGCCAAGCCAAGCAGTTCTAGACACACTGACAATGGAGACCTGGAATGATGTCTTAATGTCAAGGCAAGTCCTCACATGTAAGCCTTTGTCTAAATCTCTGTCCACATTATTGGCCTTCAATATCATCACTAGAACCTGGACTTGAATCTTAGTCCTTGTGATTTAGGTTCAGGAACTCCACCCTACTTCATTCTTGCAATCCCTTTCCCCAGGGCCTGGACATTAACATCCATAACATTCCCACCACCAAAACAATTTCCCACACCTGCAACTGGCTAGGTCTTACTCTAAGCCAGGCAGAACCATTCAAAAGAAAATGCTGCCTCTTGTCTGAATTTCAGCCAAATCTTGTCTTTAGCTCCTGCTGCCCTAATCCAGACAGCACATCACCATCCCTTGGGCACAGACACTGTGTAAGAGATTGCTGTTCCTCATGAAATTTATTTCCTCTTCTTCTTGGGCCTATATCCCAGTCTCCCTGGCAGTTGGATGTGGACATATGATTCAGTTCTACCAAAGGAATATGAGAAGTAGTGTTCCAGGTCTGTCCCATAAAAACCTCCTATGTGACCTCTTTTCCCTTCTAGTGGCTTGGTGTTGTTGTCCAGGGCAACCTTGAAAGTCATGTATTAAAGATGGTAGATCCTGTCAGCCTGGATCCCTGGATTTCTGGGTGAAGCATAGTTATCCACCAACTGGAACTATTTTGGACTGTTCATGAGTCATCATACACTCACGAACCTTAGTTACTGCAGTCGGCCTATCCAATTAATACAAGTGGTTATGCCCCAATTAAATAGTAGTCTTTGAAGTGTCCTTCACAAGGAGCCTCCTCATTGATGAGTTAATCTTCCTGGCTTGTACTCAGCCCCAGCTTGCTTATATTTTCTACCATGCATGGCTGAGATCCCAGCATCTTTCTGCCAATGCCATCTAACTAAGAACAGTAACTATGGGCTCGGGGATGGGAAAGGCAAGATTTCTGGCAAGGAAATGGGAGAGTGTACACAGCCACAGCCCTGAGTCTATTTCTCTCAGTCTGTCCATCCAGAGATGGTTTGACAAGTCTTCCTCAATGAGGGAGGATGTAAGTCTGTAACTTCAGTGCCACCCTATGAAGAGATGAAAGAATCCAAAAGCAGGCTGCGATGTTACTGATTTTCCTTGCTTTTTCTAGAGTAGATTTTTCAAACTGGTTTTTTATAAGACATGGAAATTGCCTTCTTTAAGGTAATTAGGAACTGCTGAAACTAAAACTTCTGTAACCCAGTTTTAAAATGTTGTAAAGGGTGTTCTGAGTCCCTATCTGAAATGTGCTCTTTCTACAACACTTGGGCTTAGGACCTTAGGTCCCTGAATCAGTAAAGAGCAGAGATGAGACACAAGAGAGAAACATGGGGGACATGGTAACACCAGTGAATTTCATGAGCATGGGCCTACTGCTGCACCTTGTTTGCTCTGAAGTGACTTCCCTGATCAGAAACAATGCCATGTGGAATTACACATATAATGGAATATGCATATAAGGCATTCTGTAAGTCCACATGATATGGTTGGCTTATTTCTAACACCCAAATCTCACATTGAAATGCAATCATCAAGGTTGGAGGTGGGGCCTGGTGGGAGGTGTTTCAGTCATGGGGGCAAATCCCTCATGGCTTGGTACTGTCCTTGAGATAATGAGTTCTTGGGAGATCTGGTTGTTTGAAAGTGTGTGGCGCCTTCCCCCTTTCTGTCTTGCCGTGTGATGTGCCTGCTTCCATTTTGCCTTGTGCCATGAGTAAAAGCTCCCTGAGGCCTCCCCAGAAGCCTGTGCCAGAGCCATGCCTCCTGTACACCTGCAGAACCATGAGCCAACTAAACCTTATTTCTTCATAAATTACTCATCCTTGAATATTTATTTATAGCAACAAAAGAATGGCCTAACATAGCACAGACAATAGTTTTGGTAGAAGCATTGCAAGCAAAGATGTCAAATCTTCACTCAGACTAACATCTATTCTGGTAAGAACAAAATGCTGCTCCTTCCATAATGGAAACAATCCAGTGTAATCAACCTGCCACCAGGTAGCTGGCTGATCACCCTGGGGAATGGTGACACAATGGGAACTCAGTATTGTTCTCTGGCTGTTGGCAAATTGGGCACTTGGCAGTGCCTGTAGCCAAGTCAGCCTTGGTGAGTGGATGCCCACGTTACTGAACTCGTGCGTAACCTCCACATGCATTTAGAATAAGCTTTTCAAATTCTGCAAAAGTAATTATTGATATTTTGATAGCAATTTCTTTGAATCTGTAGATTGCCTTTGGAAGTATAATCATTTAAAAAATGGTAAGTCTTGTTATGCATAACCATGGAATATATCTTTTCATTTATTTAGATCTTCTTTAATTTTTTCAGCAATGTTATAATTTTCAAGCACAAATCTTTTACCTTATTCATTAAATTTATTCCTAGGGATTTTATTCTTTTGGATGCTGTATCAGTCAGGGTTCCCCAGAGAAACAGAACTTATAGGATAAATGGATGGATGGATAGATGAATGGATACATACAAACATACATACATAGATTTATTTTAAGGAATTGGCTCACACAGTTATGGAGCTGGCAAGTCTAAAATCTTTAAAGGCCAGGCTAGAAACTCAGGCAGCAGTCGATTTGCAGTGTTAAGGCAGAATTTCTTCTTCTCTGGAAAAATTCAGTTTTTATTCTTAAGCAGTTAACTTGATTGGATGAGGTTCATCCACATTGTCAAGGGTAACCTCTTTTAATTAAAGTCAACTAATTGTAGATGTAACCTACATCTGCAAATTGCCTTCATAGCAACATCTAAATTAGTGTTTGATTAAATTAGTGAATATTATAGTCTAGCCAAGCTGGCACATAAAACTAGCCATATTAACCATCATAGCAGCTGAATTGTGTGAATACCCAAGTATGAGAGCCACTGAGCACACAATTACCATTATTTAATATTGTCCTGGAAGTTCAGGTGAATTTTGTGAATATATTGGTAAAAATGAAAAAAAATCACAAGAGAATCAACTGAAAAACAATCATTGAAAACATAAAAACATGGTTGCCAAAAATGTATATTACTGGAAAGCTACAATAATAAAGAGACCGTACTGGCAAAAAGATAGATGCATATATCAATGGAACAGTATAGAAAGCCCAGAAATAGACCTACACAAATAGAGTCAAATGATCTTTGACAAACAAACAAAGGCAGTTCAATGGACAAAGAATCATCTTTTCCACAAATGCTGCTGGAAAAAAATGGACATACACATGAAAAAATAATAATAATAACAAAGTCACAGACCATACAGCTTTCACAAATATTACTTCGAAATGAACCATAAATCTAAATGTAAAATGCAAAACCATCAAACCTCTAGAAGAAAGCATAAGAGAAAAACTATGTGCCCTTGGGTTTAATTATGTCTTTTTAGATGTAACGCCAAAAGTATAATCCATGAAGGAAAATAATGTTGTTGGAATTTATTAAAGTTTAAAATTTCTGGAGGAAGGCAGAACAAGATGGCCAAATAGAACCCTCCAGAGATCATCTCCACTGCAGGAACACCAAACTGAAAAACTATCCACAGTGGGGGGAAAAAAGTCCCTTCATAAGAACCACAAAACAGGTGAGCGATCACAGTGCCTGGTTTTAACATCATATTTAGGAAGGAGGCACTGAAGAGGGTAGGAAAGGCAGTCTTGAATTGCTTATACCCTCTCCCATCACCTGGCAACAGCCACGTGGTGCAGAGACAGAATCTGTGAACTTGGGGGAGGGAGACAGCACTGATTGCAGGACTTTGCATTGGAACTCAGTGCTGCCCTGTCACAGCAGAAAGCAACACCAGGCAGAGCTCAGCCAGTGCCCAAGGAAGAAGCATTTAGACCAGCCCTAGCCAGAGGGTAATTATCCATCCCAGCAGTCAGAACCTGAGTTCTAGCAAGCCTCTCCATCATAGGCTAAAGTGCTCTGGAATCCTAAATGAACTTGAAAGGCAGCCTAGGCCACAAGTACAATTCCTGGACAAGTCCTTGTGCACTGCTGAGCTCAGAGTCAGTAGACTAGGGATGCATGCGACCTGGTGAGACACCAGCTGTAGCAGCCAAGGGAGTGCTTCTGCCACCCCTCCTCAACCCCAGGCAGTGCACCTTGCAGCTTTGGGAGAAACTCCTTTCTGCTTGAGGAGAGGATGGGAAAAGTAAAGAGAACTTTGTCTTACAACTTGGATACCATCTCATTCACAATAGAATAGGCCATTGGGCACAGTTGTGAGGCCCCTAGCTCCCAGATGACATTTCTAGACATACATTGGGCCAGAAGGGAACTTGTTGCCTTTAAGGCAGAAAGAGAAAAGGAAGGAACCAGTCCTGGCAGGATTCATCACCTGCTGACTAAAGAGCCCTTGGGCCCTGAATCATGAGCAGGGGTAACCATGTAGCACTCACTGTGGGCCTTGGGGGAGACTCAGAGTCATGCCAGTTTCAGGTGTGACCTAGCACATTCCCAGCTGTGAAGTCTGTGGGAAGAGACTCTTCTACTTAAGGAAAGGAGAAGGAAGAGTAAAGGGCACTTTGCCTTGTAGTTTGGATACCAGCTCAGCCACAGTGGGTACAGTACCAAGCAGGCTCCTGGGGTCCTTAATTCCAGGGCTTGGCTCCTGGACAGCATTTGTGGACCTGCCCTGGCACAGAGAGGAGCCCACTCCTCTTAAGGGAGAGCCCCAGGCCTGGCAGCATTTGCTACAAGCTGAATGAAGACCCCTTGGGCCTTGAGTGAACATTGGCAGTAGCCAGGCAGTACTCGCTGTGGGCCTCGGGCAGTGGTGGCCACAGGGAGAGACTCCTCTGCTTGAGGAAAGGGGAGGGGGAAGGCTGGGGAGAACTTTGTCTTGCAGCTTGGGTGGCAGCTCAGTAACAGTATAATAGAGCACCAGATAGATTCTTAAGGTTCCCAATTTCAGGTCCTGGCTGCTGGATGGCATTTCTGAACCCACCTGGGTCTGAGGGGGAACTCTCCACCATGAAAGGAAGGATACAAACCTGGCTAAATTCATGACCTAATGATTGTAGAGCTCCTTGGTCTTGAGTGAATATAGGCAGTAGCCAGGCAGTGGTCACTGTAGGACTTGAGTGAGACCCAGTGTTGTGCTGGCTTTGGGTCTGACTTTGGAAGGCTAAGGTGGGCAGATCACTTGACCCCAGGAGTTCAAGACCAGCCTGGGCAACATGGTGAAACCCCATCTCTACAAAAAAAATGCAAAAATTATCCGAGTATGGTGGCATGTGCCTGTAGCTCCAGCTACTCATGAGGCTGAGGTGGGAGGATCACTTGAGCCCATGAGGTCAAGGCTGCAGTGAGCCATGATCACATCACTGCATTCCAGCCTGGGCAACAGAGCAAGATCCTGCCTGAAACAAAAACAAAAACTGACAAAAGAAAATACACAGTCAGAGGAGACAAAAGAAAAAAAGATTTAAAAAGAAAGAAGCACACCCACAAGATCTAGAAAATAGCTTCAAAAGGACAAATCAAAGACTTATTGGCCTTAAAGTGGAGGTAGGCAGATCTGGGTTCAAAGTTTATTCAAAGGGATGATAACAGAGAACTTCCCAAACCTAGAGAAAGATATCAATATTCAAAGTACAAGAAGGTTATAGAACACCAAGCAGATTTAACCCAAATAAGACTACCTCAAGACGTGTAATAATCAAACTCCCAAATGTCCAAGATAAAGGACCTTAAAAGCAGCAAAAGAAGAAAAACAAATAACATACAAAGGAGTTCCAATACTGGCAGCAGACCTCTCAGTGGAAACCTTATAGGCCAGGAGAAAGTGGCATGACATATTTCAAGTGGTGAAGGAAAAAAACACTTTTATCCTAGATTAGTATATCCAATGAAAATTTCCTTTAAACATGAAAGAGAAATAAAATCTTTCCCAGACAAACAAAAGCTAAGAGATTTCATCAACACCAGACCAGTTCTACAAGAAATGCTAAAGAAAGTTCTTCAATCTAAAGAAAAGAATGTTAATGAAACAATAAAATATCATCTGAAAGTACAAAACTCACTGGTAGTAGTAAGTGCACAGAAAAACACAGAATATTATGACACTGTAATTGTGGTGTGTAAACTACTCATATCTTGAGTAGGAAAGCTAAAAGATGAACCTAACCAAAAATTACAACTACGACAACTTTTCAAGACATAGACAGTACAATAAGACGTGAATAGAAACAACAGAAAGTTAAAAAGCAGAGGGATGAAGTTAAATTTTAGTTTTTATTAGTTTTCTCTTTACTTGTTATTTTCTTTGCTTGTACAATGAGTGTTAAGTTTTCATCAGTCTAAAATAATGGGTTATAAGATATTTGCAAGCCTCCTGGTAATGTCAAATCAAAGAGCACAAAAAGGAAAAGCAAGAAGTTAAAACATACCACCAGAGAAAATCACCTTTACTAAAAGAAAGACAGGAAAAAAGGAAAGAAGGAAGACCACAAAACAACCAGAAATGAATAACAAAATGGCAAGAGTAAGTCCTTACTTATCAATAATAACATTGAATGTAAATGGACTAAACTCTCTGATCAAAAGACATAGAGTGGCTGAAATAGATTTAAAAAAAAAGACCCAATGATCAATTATCTATTGCCTACAAGAAACACATTTCATATACAAAGACACATAGAGACTGAAAACAAAGGGATGAAAAAAGATATTCCATGCCAATGGAAACCAAAAAAGAGCAGCAGTAGCTATACTAACATCAGACAAAATAGATTTCAAGACAAAAACTATAAAAAGAGACCAAAAAAGTCACTATGTAATGATAAAGGGGTCAAGAGGATATAACAATTGTAAATATACATGCACCCAATGCTGGAGCACCCAGATTATAAAGCAATTAGAGCTAAGGAGAAAGAGAAACTCTGATACAATAATAGCTGGAGATTTCAACACCCCACTTTCAGCACTGGGCAGATCATCCAGACAGAAAATCAACAAAGAAACCTCAGACTTAATCTGCACTATAGACCAAATGGATCTAATAGATATTTACAGAATATTTCATCCAACAGCTGCAAAATACACATTCTTCTCCTTAACACATGGATCATTCTCACGAATAGACCATATGTTAGGTCACAAAACAAGTTTTAAAAACTTCAAACAAAATTGAAATTATATCAAATATCTTCATTGACTACAATGGGATAAAACCAGAAATCAATAGCAAGAGAAATTTTGGAAACTACACAAACACATGGAAATTAAACAATATGTTCCTGAATGAGCAGTGGGTCAATGAAGAAATTAAGAAAAAGATTTAAAATTTTTCTGAAACAAATGAAAATGGAAAAAAAAATACCAAAACCTATGGATACAGCAAAAGCAGTACTAAGAGGAAAGTTTATAGCAATAAGTGCCTACATCAAAAAAAGTAGAAAAACTTCAAACAACCCAACAATACATCTTAAAAAACTTAAAAAGCAAAAGAAAACCAAACCCAAAATTAGTAGAAGAAAAGAAATAGGCTGAGTGCAGTGGCATAGGCCTGTGGTCCCAGCACTTTGGGAGGCCAAGGCGGGCAGATCACTTTAGCTCAGGAGTTCAAGACCAGCATGGGGAACTTGGTAAAACCCCATCTCTGCACACACACACACACAAAATACAAAAATATTAGCGAGTCATGGTGGCATGTGCATGTAGTCCCAGCTACTCAAGAGGCTGAGATGGGCAGATTGCTTGAGCCTGGGATGCAAAGGTTGCAGTGAGCTGAAATTGTGTGACTGCACTCCAGCCTGGGCAACAGAGTGAGAACCTGTCTCTAAATAAATAAATAAGAAATAAATAATAAAGATCAGATTCAATGCTGGAATAAAAATTGCAAAAAAAAGGGGGGAGGGAAGAAAAAGAAAAAAGAAAATTAAAAAGATCACAGCAAAAACAAAATTGAAACAAAAAACACAAAATATTAATGAAATGAAAAGTTGTTTTTTGAAAAGATAACAAAATCAACAAATCTTTAGCAATACTAAGAAAAAAAGAGAGAAGACCCAAGTACATAAAATTATAGATGAATAAGGAGACAGTATAAGTGAGGCTGCAGAAATTCAAAGAATCATTAGAGGCTGCTATGAGCAGCTATATGCCAATAATTAAAGAACCTAGAAGAAATGGGTAAATCCCTAAATGCATACAATCTACCAAGATTGAACCATAAAGAAATCCAAAATCTGAAGAGACCAATAACAAGTAATGAGATTGAAGCTGTAATAAAATGTCTCCCAGCAAAGAAAAGCCTGGGACTCAGTGGCTTCACTGCTGAATTTTACCAAACATTTAGAGAATAACTAATAGGAATTCTACTCAAACTATTTCAAAAAAACAGAGGAAGGAATACTTCCAAACTCATTTCTCAAGGCCAGTATTATCCTGATACCACAACCAGACAAAAATACATTAAAAAAAGAAAACTACAGGCCAATATCCCTGATGAATATCAATGCAAAGATCCTGAACAAAATATTAACAACCAGTAGTCAATAATACATTAAAAATGTAATTCATCATGATCAACTGGGATTTTCCCAAGAATGCAAGGATTGTTCAATATATGCAAATCAATCAGTCATAAATCATATAGACACAATGAAGAACAAAACCTACATAATCATTTCAATTGATGCTGAATAGGCATTTGATAAAATTCAACATCCCTGCATGATTAAAACGCTGAAAAAACTGGGTATAGAAGGATATACCTCAACACAATAAAAACCATATATGACAGACCCACAACTGGTATCATACTAAACAGGGAAAAACTGAAAGCCGGTCTGACCATAAGATCTGGAAAAAGACAAGAATGACCATTTTCATCACTGCTATTCAACATAGTACAGGAGGTCCTAGCTAGAGCAAGCAGACAAGAGAAAGAAACAAAGGGCATCCAAATTGGAGAGGAAGAAGGCAAATTATCATTGTTTGCAGATGACATGATCTTATATTAATATTTGGTAAAACCTAAAGACTCCACCAATTCTATCAGAATTGATGAACAAATTCAGTACAGTTGCAGGATACAAAATCAATATACATATATCAGTAGCATGTCTAGATGCCAACAATGAACAATATGAAAAAGAAATCAAGAAACTCATCCCATTTATAATAGCTACAAATAAAATAAGATACCTAGGAATTAGCTAAATGAAAGAAGTAAAAGATTTCTACAATGAAAACTATAGAACATTGATGCAACAAACTGAAAATGACACCAAAAAATGGAAAGATATTCCATGTTCATGGATTGGCAGAATCAATGTTATTAAAATGTTCATCTTACCCAAAGCAATCTACAGATTCAATGCAATCCCTGTCAAAATACCAGTGACATTCTTCAAGAGATAGAAAAAGCTATCCTAAAATTTATATGGAACCGCAGAAGACCCAGAATAGCCAAAGCTATCCTGAACAAAAAGAACAAAACTGATGGAATCACATTACCTGACTTCAAATTGTATTACAGAGTTATGCTAACCAAAATAGCATGATACTGACATAAAAACAAACACATGGACCAATGGAACAGAATAGAGAACCCAGAAATAAATCCATACATCTATGGTGAACTCATTTTCAACAAAGATGCCAAGAACTTACATTAGGGAAAGGACGGTGTCTTCAATAAATGGTGCTGGGAAAACTGGATTCCCATATGCAGAAGAATGAAACTAGACCCCTATCTCTCATCATACACAAAAAGTCAAATCAAAATGGATTAAAGACTTAAATCTAAGACCTCAAACCATGAAACTACTAAAAGAAAGCACTGAGGAAACTCTACAAGACATTAGTCTGGGCAAACATTTTTTCAGTAATACTCCACAAGCACAAGCAACCAAAACAAAAAGGTTCTGCACAGCAAAGCAAAAAAATCCATCAACGAATTGAAGTGACATCTGATAGAATGGGAGGAAATATTTGCAAACTGCCCATCTGATGGGGATTAACAGCCAGGGTGGGAGACGGGGGTGCTATTACTCCCCATATCGCGGGGGGTGCCTAACTCCCCCACGATGTGAATCGTAACAGCCAGCAGGGGAGAGGGGGGTGCTATTACATCCCATATCGCCGGGGGTGCCTCACACCCCCGCGATGTGGATCGTAGCAGCCAGGGGGGCAGAGTGGGGTGCTATTACTCCCCATATCGCAGAGGGGTGCCTCACCCCGCTGAGATGTGGATCGTAACAGCCAGAGGGGGAGAGGGGGGCGCGATTACTCCCCATATCGCAAGAAGTGCCTCACCCTTCTGAGATGTGGATCGTAATAGCCAGGTGGGGAGAGGGGGCTGCTATTACTCCCCATATCGCGGGGGATGAGGCACCCTCCGCGATGTGGAACGTCGATTAATAGCATTCTCTTTCCTCCTGGATATTAGGAACAATTTCACAAGGTGTGTGTACACAGCGTGCGATATTGAAACTAATATCATCCTCTCCACCTTCGTATATTAGGAACAATATTACACAATGGGTGTACACTCTGCGAGATTTGGGGTTTATCATCCTGTGTTTCCCTGAATATTCGGAGAAATATCACAGGCCGGGGGTACACCCACTACTATATTGGGAGGAACATCACACTCTACCTTCTGGAAATTAGGAGCAATATCACAGAAGGGGTGTTACACCCCCTGCTATATTGGGAGTGATATCATCCTCTCCGTCCCTGGATATTAGGAACAATATCACTAGGGAGCGTACACCTCCTGCGATATTGAGACTAATATCATCCTCTCGCCCCCTGGATTTTAGGAACAATATCACAGGGGTGGTGTACACCCCCTGCGAAATTGGAAGAAATATCATCCTCTCCATCTTTGGATATTAGGGACAATATCAGAGGGGAGGTCTACGCCCCCTGCGATATTGGGAGTAATATCATCCTCTCCTACCCAGGGTATTAGGAAGAAGATGACCGAAGGGATGTACACCCACAGCGATATTTTGAGTAATGTCATCCTCTACCCCCTGACTATTAGAAATAACATCATAGAGGGGTGTACACTTTCTGCGATATTGGGAGTAATATCATCCCCTTGCCACCGGGTATCAGGAAGAATAATATTAATTATTAATATTAATAAATATAATAAAAACTAATAGTAATCTTTGATATTAATAATTATAATGATAGTAAAATTAATATTGATTATAAATATTAGTGATTACTATTAATAGCGATATCATTATTAATAAAATAATATCAGTAATTAATGTTACTTAAATCAATAAATAACATTGATAATAAAATAATATTTAATATTAAGATTAATAATTAATGTTTTGATGACTAATATTAATATTTAAAGTCATACAGAATGTAATTAAAATAATTACTAATCATTAATAATATACTAGTAATTAATATTAACATTGATATTATTAAAATTGATCATTGATGGTTAATAATAATAATATTACTCCTAATACTTCAGGGGGTGTACACCTACCAGTGATATTGTTCGTAATATCCAGGGATGGAGAACATGATATTAGTTTTAATATCGCAGTAGGTGTACACTCACCCTGTGACATTGATCCTAATATCCAGGGGATAGAGTATGACATGACTCCCAACATAGCAGTGAATGTACAGCCACCCAGTGATATTGCTCTTAATATTCACGAAAGAAGAGTATGATATTACTCCCAATATTGCAGGGAGTGTTCACCTCTTCTGTGATATTGTTCCTAGTATCCGGAGGGGGAGAGGATGATAATAATTCCACTATTGCAGGCTGTGTTCACCCACCCTGTGATATTGTTATTAATATCCTGGAAGGGAGAGGATGATATTACTCCCCATAGAGCAGGAGGTGTACAACCACCCTGGGATATTGTTCCTAATATGCATGGAGGGAAGAGGCTGATATTACTCCCAATATGGCAGGGGGTGTACATCCACCTGGTGATATTGTTCTTGATAGTCAAAGGCCGAGAGGTTGATATTACTCCCAATATCATAGAAAGTGTACACCCCCGTGTGATATTGTTCCTGATATCCAGAAGGGGAGAAGATGATATTAGTCCTCCTATCACAGGAGGTGAACACCCACTCTGTGATATCTTTCCTAATATGCAGGGGGAGAGAGGATACTATTGTTCCCAATATTGCAGAAGATGTACACCCCCCTGTGATATTGTCCTTAATATTCCAAGGCGGAGAGGATGTTATTACTCCCAATATCCCAGAAAGTATACGCCCCCCAGTGATATTGTTCCCATGATCCAGAGGGCAGAAGGTGTTACTTTCAATATCGCGGGGGGTGTACATGCCTCCAGGGACACTGTTCCTAATTTCAATGTGGGAGAGGATGATATTACTCCCAGTATCTCAGGGGTTATAAACACTCCTTTGATATTATTCCTAATATCCAGGAGGGGAGAGGATGATATTCCTCCCTATATTGCCGAGGGTGTACACCCGTCTTTGATATTGTTCGTAATTTCTAGAGAGGGAGATGATATTACTCACAATATCATAAACACGCTGTGTGTTCACCATGGATCATAATATCCAGGAAGCGATATTACTCCCCACATCGCAGGGCGTGTCATATTGTTTCTTATATCCGGGGGGAGAAGATGATATTACTACCAACATCGAAGAAGTGTACATGCCCCCTGTGATATTGTTCCTAAAATCCACTTTGGGAGAGGATGATATTACTCTCAATATCACAGGGGTTGTACACCCCGCCTGGAATATTATTCCTACTATCCAGAATGAGAGAGAATGAAATTACTCCCAATAGAGCAGGGGGCGTACCCCTCCCATGTGATATTGTTCTTAATAGCTAAAGGAAGAGAAGATAATATTATTCCTTATTCTGCAGGGGGTGTACACCCACCTGTGATATTGTTCCTAATATCCAGGGAGGGAGAGCATGATATTACCCCCAATATCGCCGTGGGTGTACACCCACTTTGTGATATTGCTCCTAATATCCAAGGGGTAGAGTATGACATTACTCCCAATATAACAGTGGGTGTACATCCACCCGGGGATATTGCTCCTAATATTCATGGAAGGCGAAAATGATATTACTCCCAATATCGAAGACAGCGTACAATCCTTCTGTGATATTGTTCCTAATATCCGGAGGGGGACAGGATGATATTACTTTCAATATCGCAGGCTGTGTACACCCACCCTGTGATATTGTTACTAAAATCCAGGAAGGGAGAGGATATTACTTTCCATATAGTAGGAGGTGTACAACCACGCTGGGATTTTGTTCCTAATATCAAGTTGGGGGAGAACATAATATTACTCCCAATATCTCAGGGGGTGTACATCCTCCCTGTGATATTCTTCTTGCCATTCAAAAAAGGAGAGGATGACATTACTCCAGATATCGAAGAAAGTGTAAACCCTAGCGTGATATTGTTCATAATACCCAGAAGGGGAGAAGAGGATATTAATTCCCATATCCCAGGAGGTGTACACTCACTCTGATGTTTTTCCTAATATGCAGGGGGGTGAGAGGATAATAATATTCCCAATATCGCAGGTGTTGTACACCCCCGTGTGAGGTTGTTCTTAATATGCAAAGGCGGAGGGGATTATATTAATACATATATCGCAGCAAGTCTACACGCTCCAGTGATTATTGTTCCCATGATCCAGGAGAGAAGAGGATGATACTACTTTAAATATCACAGAAGGTGTACACGCCCCCAGTGATATTGTTTCTCATTTCAACGTGGGAGAGGAGGATATGACACCAAATATCGCAGGGAGTAGAAATACTCCTGGGATACTGTTCTTAATATTTAGGGAGGGAGAGTATGATATTACTGCCAAAACTACAAAGGGTGTACACCCGTCTGTGAAATAGTTCATAATTTCCAGAGGGGGAGATGATATTACTCGAAATATCGTTAACAGGCAATGAGTCCACCGTGGATCGTAATAGCCAAGGGGGGAGAGGGGGGTGCTATTACTCCCCATATCGCGGGGGGTGCCTCACCCCCCTGCGATGTGGATCGTAATAGCCAGGGAGGGAGAGGGGGTGCTATTACTCCCCATATCGCGGGATGTCCATCTTCTGCGGTATTGGGAGTACTATCATCATCTCTTCCTTTAGATGATAGGAACCATATCACGGGGGGGTGTACACCCCGTGTATTTTTGTAAGCAATGTCATTCTCTCCTCTTCTAGATTTTATGATTCATATCACAGGCGGGGTGTACACTCCTTGTTATATTGGGAGTAATCTCATCCTCTTTCAACCTGTATATTTAGAACGATATCCCATGGGGGGGCTGTACATCTCTTCAATATTGGTAGTAATACCATCTTCTCCTTTCCTGGATATAAGAAACAATATCACGGGTGGGGTGTACACCCCTTGCAATATTGGGAGTAATATCACCTCTCCCCATGTGGTTATTAAGGACAAAATCAAAGGGTGGGTGTACAGTTCCTACGTTATTGGGAGTAATATCATCCACTCACCCCCTGAATATCAGGAACCATATCACTGAAGAGGTGTACACCCCCTTCGATATTGTCAGCAATATCATCCTCTTCCCACCTGGATATTAGGAATAATACCACAGCGGGGGGTGTACACCCACTGCAATATCGAAAGTAATATCAGCCTCTTTCCCACTGGATATTAGGAACTATATCACAGGTGTGTGTGCAACTTCTGCAATATTGGGAGTAATATCAGCCTCTACCCCGCTGCATATTAGGAACAATATACGGGGGGGGGGGGGGTTACACCCCCTACGATATTGAGAGTAATATTATTCTCTTTTCCCTGTACATTAGGAACTATATCACAGGGGTCTGTACACCTTCTGCGATATCGGGATTAGTGTTATCCTCTCCCCCACTGAATATCAAAAACAATATCACAGAAGGGTGTACACCCCCTGCGATATGGCCAGTAATATCATCGTCTCTACCTTTGGATACTAGGAACAACATCACAGAGGGTGTGTACACCCCCTGCAATATTGGGCACAATGTTATCCTCTCTTCTCCTGGATATTAGGAACAATATCCCTGGTGGAGGGAGGTGGAGTACATTAAGAACAATATTAACTGGGTGGCTGTACACCCCCTGCGACATTGGGTGTAGTATCATCCTCTCTTCCCTAGGATATTAAGAACAATATCACAGGGGGGGTGTACAGCTCCTTCGATATTGGGAGTAATATCATCCTCTCCCCCTCTCGATATAAGGAACAATATCTCAGGGTGGGTGTACATCCCCTGCAATATTGGACGTAATGTCATAGTCTCCCAACGTAGATATTGGGAATAATGTCACAGGAGGTTGTACACCCTCTTCGATATTGGGAGTAATATCATCCTCTCCCCTCGGGATTGTAGGCAAAATAACTAAGGGGTTTTACGACTCGTGCGATATGGGCAGTAATATCATCCTCTCCCCACCTAGATATTAGGAACTATATCACAGGAGGCTGTACACTTCTTGCGATATTGGGAGTAATATCATCCTCGCCCATCACGGCTATTAAGAACACTATTACAGAGGAGGTGTACACCCCCTGAGATATTGAGAGTAATATTATGCTCTCCCCTTTGGGATATTAGGAACAATATTGCAGGGGGTGTGTACATGCAGGGGGAGTAATATCATCCTCTCCCCCCGAATATAAGAAACAACATCACAGGAGGATGTACACCCCCTGCGATATTGGGAGTAATATTATTTTCTCCCCCTCTGGATATTCGGAACAATATCACAGTAGGTGTGTACTCCCCCTGCGATATTGCCACTAGTATCATCATCTCCCTCCCAGGATATAAGGAACAATATCACAAGGGGGTGTACACCGCCTGCAATATTGGGGGTAATATCTTCCTTTCCCCCGCTTGCTGTTAGGAACAGTGTCACAGAAGGGGTGTACACCCCCTGCTATATTGGGAGTGATATCATCCTCTCCATCCCTGGATGTTAGGAACAATATCACTAGGGATTGTACAACTCCTGCAGTATTGAGACTGATATCATCCTCTCACCCCCAGGATAATAGGATCGATATCACAGGGGTGTTGTACACCCCCTGCGAAATTGGAAGAAATATCATCCTCTCCACCTTTGGATGTTAGGGACAATATCACGGGGAAGGTCTATGCCCCCTGCTATATTGGGAGTCATATCATCCTCTCCCACCCAGGATATTAGGAACAAGATGACTGAAGGGATGTACACCCACTGCGATATTCTCAATAATGTCATCCTCTACCCCCCCTGGCTATTAGGAATAACATCATAGAGGGGCGTACACTTTCTGTGATGTTGGGAGTAAGATCATCCTATCCTCTCCGGATATCAGGAAAAATTATATTATTAATATTAATAAATATAATAAAAATTAATAGTAACCATTATATTAATAATTGCAATAAACATAGTAAAAATTAATACTGGTTAAAAATATTAATGATTACTATTAATAATAGTCATATCACTATTAAATCACTATTAATAATAAAATAATGATATCAGTAATTAATATTACTTAAATCAATAATAAGTAATGTTGGAAATAAAATAATTAATATCAAGATTAATAGCTAATATTATTGATAAATGACGTTAATATTAATAATTTTATTCATGCATAATAATAAATTTAAAGTAATTATTAATAATTAATAATGTTACAATATTGATTAATATTAACATTGATATTATTAAAATTGATAATTGATGTTTAATAATTAATAATATTATTACTCCTAATACCACAGGGGGTGTATACCTACCTGTGATATTGTTCCTAATACCCAGGGACAGACAGCATGATATTAGTTTTAATATCGCAGTAGGTGTACACTCACCCTGTGACATTGATCCTAATATCCAGGGAGTAGAGAATGACATGACTCCCAACATAGCAGTGAATGTACAGCCACCCAGTTGATATTGCTCCTAATATTCACGGAAGAAGCCTGTGATATTACTCCCAATATTGCAGGGAGTGTACTCCTCTTCTGTGATATTGTTCCTAGTATCCGGAGGGGGAGAGGATGATAATAATTCCAGTATTGCAGGCTGTGTTCACCCACCCTGTGATATTGTTATTAATATCCTGGAAGGGAGAGGATGACACTACTCCCCATAGAGCAGGAGGTGTACAACCACCCTGGGATATTGTTCCTAATATGCATGGAGGGAAGAGGCTGATATTACTCCCAATATGGCAGGGGGTGTACATCCACCCGGTGATATTGTTCCTAATATTCAAAGGCCAAGAGGTTGATATTACTCCCAATATCATAGAAAGTGTACACCCCCGTGTGATACTGTTCCTGATATCCAGAAGGGGAGAGGACGATATTACTCCCCATATCGCAGGAGGTGAACACCCACTCTGTGATATCTTTCCTAATATGCAGGGGGAGAGAGGATAATATTATTCCCAATATTGCAGAAGATGTACACCCCCCCCGTGATATTGTCCTTAATATTCCAAGGCGGAGAAGATGATATTACTCCCAATATCGCAGAAAGCGTACACCCCCCAGTGATATTGTTCCCGATCCAGGAGGGAAGAGGATGATATTACTTTCAATATCGCAGGGGGTGTACACGCCCCCATTGATACTAATTTCAACGTGGGAGAGGATGATATTACTCCCAATATTGCAGAGGTTATAAACACTCCTTTGATATTGTTCCTAATATCCAGGGGAGGAGAGGATGATATTCCTCCTTATATTGCAGAGGGTGTACGCCCGTCTTTGATATTGTTTGTAATTTCTAGAGGGGGAGATATTACTCACAAAATTGTAAACACGCTGTGTGTCCACCATGGATCCTAATATCCAATGTGGGATATTACTCCATATCGCAGGGGGTGTCCACCCCGTCTGTCATATTGTTTCTTATATCCAGGGAGGAGAGGATGATATTACTACCAATATTGAAGAAGTGTACATGCCACCTGTGATATTGTTCCTAATATCCACGTTGGGAGAGGATGATATTACTCTCAATATCACAGGGATTGTACACCCCGCCTGCGATAGTTTTCCTACTATCCAGAATAAGAGAGAATGATATTACTACCAATAGAGCAGGGGGTGTACACCCCCCATGTGATATTGTTCTTAATAGCTAAAGGAAGAGAAGATAATATTATTCTTTGTACTGCAAGGGGTGTACACCCACCTGTGATATTGTTCCTAATATCCAGGGAGGGAGAGCATGATATTACCCCCAATATCGCCATGGGTGTACACCCACTTTGTGATATTGCTCCTAATATCCAAGGGGTAGAGTATGACATTACTCCCAATATAACAGTGGGCGTACTGGGGATATTGCTCCTAATATTCAGGCAAGGCGAACATGATGTTACTCCCAATATCGCAGAGAGTGTACAACCCTTCTGTGATAGTGTTCCTAATATCCAGAGGGGGAGAGGATGATATTATTTTCAATATTGCAGGCTGTGTACGCCCACCCTGTGATATTGTTCCTAAAATTCACGAAGGGAGAGTACGGTATTACTTTCCATGTAGTAGGAGGTGTACACCCACGCTGGGATTTTGCTCCTAATATCAAGAGGGGAAGAGCGTAATATTACTCCCAATATGGCAGGGGGTGTACATCCCTCCTGAGATATTGTTCTTGCCATTCAAACTGGCTAGCCATATGTAGAAAGCTGAAACTGGATCCCTTCCTTACACCTTATACAAAAATTAATTCAAGATGGATTAAAGACTTAAACGTTAGACCTAAAACCATAAAAACCCTAGAAGAAAACCTAGGCATTACCATTCAGGACATAGGCATGGGCAAGGACTTCATGTCTAAAACACCAAAAGCAATGGCAACAAAAGCCAAAGTTGACAAATGGGATCTAATTAAAATAAAGAGCTTCTGCACAGCAGAAGAAACTACCATCAGAGTGAACAGGCAACCTACAAAATGGGAGAAAATTTTTGCAACCTACTCATCTGACAAAGGGCTAATATCCAGAATCTACAATGAACTCAAACAAATTTACAAGAAAAAAACAAACAACCCCATCAAAAATTGGGCGAAGGACATGAACAGACACTTCTCAAAAGAAGACATTTATGCAGCCAAAAAACACATGAAAAAATGCTCATCATCACTGGCCATCAGAGAAATGCAAATCAAAACCACAGTGAGATACCATCTCACACCAGTTAGAATGGCAATCATTAAAAAGGCAGGAAACAACAGGTGCTGGAGAGGATGTGGAGAAATAGGAACACTTTTACACTGTTGTTGGGACTGTAAACTAGTTCAACCATTGTGGAAGTCAGTGTGGCGATTCCTCAGGGATCTAGAACTAGAAATACCATTTGACCCAGCCATCCCATTACTGGGTATATACCCAAAGGACTATAAATCATGCTGCTATAAAGACACATGCACACGTATGTTTATTGCAGAATTATTCACAATAGCAAAGACTTGGAACCAACCCAAATGTGCAACAATGATAGACTGGATTAAGAAAATGTGGCACATATACACCATGGAATACTATGCAGCCATAAAAAATGATGAGTTCATGTCCTTTGTAGGGACATGGATGAAATTGGAAATCATCATTCTCAGTAAACTATCACAAGAACAAAAAACCTAACACCGCATATTCTCACTCATAGGTGGGAATTGAACAATGAGAACACATGGACACCGGAAGGAGAACATCACACCCTGGGGACTGTTGTGGGGTGGGGGGAGGGGGAGGGATAGCATTGGGAGATATACCTAATGCTAGATGACGAGTTAGTGGGTGCAGCGCACCAGCATGGCACATGTATACATATGTAACTAACCTGCACATTGTGCACATGTACCCTAAAACTTAAAGTATAATAATAATATTAAAAAGGAGAAGATGACATTACTCCAGATAGCGAAGAAAGTGTAAACCCCCGTGCGATATTGTTTCTAATATCCAGAAAGGGAGAAGAGGATATTAATCCCCGTATCGCAGGAAGTGTACACTCACTCTGATATTTTTCCAAATAAGCAGGGGGGTGAGAGGATAATCATATTCCCAATACTGCAGGGTTGTACACCCCCGTGTGAGAGGTCCTTAATAATATTCCAAGGCGGAGGGGATGATATTACTACATATATCACAGAAAGTGTACACCCCCCAGGGATATTGTTCCCATGATCCTGGAGGGAAGAGGATGATATTACTTTAAATATCACAGAAGGTGTACATGCCCCCAGTGATACTGCTTCTCATTTCAACGTGAGAGAGGAGGATATGACACCCAATATTGCAGGGAGTAGAAACACTCCTGTGATACTGTTCTTAATATTCAGGGAAGAAGAGGATGATATTACTCCCAATACAGATGGGTGTACACCCTCTTTACACTGAGGGTGTACACCCGTCTGTGAAATAGTTCATGATTTCCAGAGGGGGAGATGATATTACTCAAAATATCATTAACAGGCTATGAGTCCACTGTGGATCATAAAAGCCAGGGTGGAAGAGGGGGGTGCTATTACTCCCCATATCGCAGGGGGTGCCTCACCCCCTGCAAAGTGGATCGTAAAAGCCAGGGCAGGAGAGGGGGTGCTATTACTCCCCATATTGCGGGGGGTGCCTCACCCCCCTGCGATGTGGATCATAATAGCCAAGGGGGAGAGGGGAGTGCTATTACTCCCGGTATCGCGGGAGGTGCCTCATTCCCCTGCGAAAATAGCCAGGGGATATATTAGGAACAATATCTCATGGGGGGTGTACAGCCCATTCCATTTTGGGAGGAATATCGATTTCCTCATTGTTTGAACTAAGAAGCAATATAACAGTGGTGATGAACACACCCTGTGATATGGCCAGTAATATCATAGACTCTCCTCCGGGATATTAGGAACAATATCAAAAAGGGGTGTATACACTAGCGATATTGGGATTAATACCATGCTCTCCTCCCTGGATATTAGGAACAATATCGAAGAAGGGGTGTCCACCCCTGGCTATATTGACAGCAATATCATCCTCTCCCTCCCTGGATATTAAGAACAATACCACAGAGTTGGTGTACACCCACTGTGATATTGGGAGTAATGTAATCCTCTCCCTCCTGGATATTAAATACAACATCACAGAAGGGGTGCACACCCCCTGCCAGTAATATCATCGTCTCACCCACTGGATATTAGGAACAATTTCACAGAGGTGTGTACACCTCCTCCACTATTGGGAGTAATATCATTCTCTCTTTCCCTGGATACTAGGAGTAATACCACAGGTGCAGTGTACAACTCCTGCGATATTGGCAGTAATATAATTCTCTCCCAACCTTGATATTAGGAAGAAAATAACAGGGGGTGTATACCCCCTGCAATATTGGGAGCAATATCATCCTCTCCCCCACTTGATATTAGAAACAATATCCCAGGAAGGGTGTACACCCTCTGAGATATTGAGAGTAATATCATCCTCTCCCCAACCTAAATATTTGGAACAATATCACAGGGGGCTGTACGCCCTCTATGATATTGGGAGTAATATCATTCTAATCCCCCCTGGATATTAGGAACAATATTATGGAGAGGCTGTACACCCCTCGCCTTATTATGAGTCATATTTCTCTTCCCCTGGATATTAGGAACTATATCACAGGGGGTGTGTCTTCTGTGATATTGGAATTAATATCATCCTCTCCCCCACTAAATATTAAAAACAATATCAAAGGGGTATTTTCCACCCCTGCGATAGGGACAGTACTATCATTGTCTTCCCCCCTAAATATTAAGAACAGTATCACAAGATGGGTGTACACCCCCTGTTGGGAGTAATATCATCCTCTTTACCTTTGGATATTAGGAACAATATCACAGTGGGGGTGTACATCCCTTGCAATATTGGGCAAAATGGGCAAAATGTTATCCTCTCTTCCCCTGGATATTAGGAACAATATACCAGGGAGTCAGTACCACCTCTTCGATATCAGAAGTAATAACATCCTTTCCCTTCCTGGACATTAACAACAATATCACTGGGTGGGTGTACACCCCCTGCGATATTGGGTGTAATATCATGCTCTCTTCCCTAGGATATTAGGAACAATATCATAGAAGGGGTGTACAGCTCTTGTGATATTGGGAGTAATATCATCCTCTCCCCCCTCTCTATTAGGAACAATATCCCAGAGTGGGTGTAGATCTCCTGCGATATTGGGCATAATATCATCATCTCCCAACGTGGATACTGGGAACAACGTCATAGAGTGTGTGTACACCTTCTTCAGTATTGGGAGTAATATCATTTTCTCCCCCATGGATTGTAGGGAAAATATCTAAGGGGTTTTACAACTCCTGCGATATTGGGAGTAATATTACCCTCTCCCCACCTAGATATTAGGAACTATATCACAGGAGGCTGTACACTTCTTGCAATATTGGGAATAATATCATCTTCTCCCATTGTTGGGAACAGGCCCCCAAATCTGGCCATAAACTGGCCCCAAAACTGGCCATAAACAAAATCTCTGCAGTACTGTGACATGCTCGTGACGGCCTTGATGCCCACACTGGAAGGTTGTCAGTTTACCAGAATGAGGGCAAGGAACACCTGGCCCACCCAGGGTGGAAAACTGCTTAAGGTGTTCTTAAACCACAAACAATAGCATGAGCGATCTGTGCCTTAAGGACATGTTCATGCTGCAGATAACTAGCCAGAGCCCATCCCTTTATTTTGACCCATCCCTTTATTTCACATGAGGAATATTTTGAGTAAATTTTATGACTGGCTTGCTGTCGATAAATATGTGGGTAAATCTCTGTTCGGGGCTTTCAGTTCTGAAGGCTGTGAGACCCCTGACTTCCCACTCCACACTCTATATTTCTGTGTGTGTGTCTTTAATTCCTCTAGTGCTGCTAGGTTAGGGTCTCTCTGACTGGGCTGGTCTCAGCATCCCATCATGGATATTAAGAACAATATCACAGGGGAGGTGTACACCCCTTGCGACATTGAGAGTAATATTATGCTCTCCCCTCCGGAATATTAGGAACAATATCCCAGGAGGTGTGTACAGCCCCCACAATATTGGCAGAAATATCATCCTTTTCCCCCAAATATAAGAAACAATATAGCAGGAGGATGTACACCCCCTGTGATATTGGGAGCAATATCATATTCTCCCCCTTTGGATATTCAGAATAATATCATGGGGGGGGTACACCCCCTGCGATATTGCCACTAGTATCATCATCTCCCTCCCAGGATATAAGGAACAATATCACAAGGGGGTGTATACCCCCTGTGATATTGGGAGCAATAACTTCCTCTTTCCTGCTGGCTATTAGGAACAATGTCACAGAAGGTGTACACCCCCTGCGATATTGGGAGTAATATCATTCTCTACCCTCCTGGATATTACAAAAAATATCACAGAAGGGGAACACCCTTTGAGATATTGGGAGTAATATCATCCTTCCTACACTGTATATTATCAAAAATATCACAAAGGGTGGTACACCATCTGCAATATTAAAAGTAATACCATCCTCTTCCCCCCAGATATAACAAACAATACCACAGTGGGGTGTTCACTTCCTGCGATATTCACAGGAATATCATCCTCTCCCCATCTGGGTATTATGAAGAATATCTCATGGGAGTGTACACCGTCTGTGATATTGGAAGTAATATTATTCTTTCTCCACTGGACATTACAAACAATGTCATAGTTGGGTGTACACCCCCTATGATATTGCGAGTAATATCATTCTCTCCCTTCCTGGATATTATGAACAATATCACAGGAAAATGTACACCCCCTGTGATATTGGGAGTAATGTTATTCTCTCCCCCCTAGATATTATGAACAATATCACAGGGGGGTGTACACCGACTGTGATATGGGGAGTAATATCATCCCTTCCCTTCTGGATATTATGAGCAATATCACAGGGAAGTAATATCACCCTCTCTCCTTCTGTCTATTTTGAATAATATCACAGGGGGATGTACACCACCTGCGATAAGGGAGTAATATTATCCTCTCCCCTTCTGGACATTATGAACAATATCACAGTGGGGTGAACACCCCCTTCAATATGGGGAGTTATATCCACCTCACCACACCTGGATATTATGAACAATATCACGGGGGGGGTACACCCCCTGCAATATGGGGAGTAATATTATCCTCTTTCTCCCTGGATATTACAAACAATATCAAAGGGTGGTGTGCACCCCCTGCAATATGGGGAGTAATGTTATTCTTTTCCCCCCTGGATATTACAAACAATGTCACTGGAGCGTGTACACACCCTGCGATATGGGAAGTAATATTTTACTCTCCCCCCTGGATATTACAAACAGTATCACTGGAGTGTGTAAGCCTCCTGTGATATGGAGAGTAATATAATCTTCTCCCCCCTGGATATTACGAACAGTATCACCAGGGGGTGTACACCTCCTGCAATTATGGGGAGTAATATTATCTTCTCCTTCCCCGGTTATTACGAACAATATCACAGAAGGGTGTACACCCCCTGCGATATGAGGAGTAATATTATCCTCTCCCCTCCTGGATATTAAGAAAAATATCACAGGGAAGTCTACACCCTCTGCAATACTGAGGAGTAATATCATTTCCTGCCCCGTTGGATATTATGAACAATATCACAGGGGGGTGTACACCCCCTGTGATATGAAGTGTAATATCATCCTTTCCCGCCTGAATATTAGGAACAATACCACAAAGGGGTGTACACCAACATGGGAAGTAATATTATCTTCTCTACCCCTGGATATTACAAACAATATCACCGATGTTGTACACACAGGGTATTTACATTATCAAAAATAATATCTTTTCCCCTGAATATTACGAACAATATCACAGGGTTGTTCACACCCCCTGTGATATTGTTCCTAATATCCAGGGGGAGAGAGGAGGATGTTACTTCCAATATTGCAGGGGGTGTATATCCTCCTTGTAATATTGTTCCTAGTATCACAGGGGAGATGTACACCTCCAGTATTATGGGTAATAGAGATATTACTCCCAATAGCACAGGAGATGTACACTCCCCCTGTGATATTGTTCCTAATATCAAGGTGGGGAGAGAATATTACTCTTAATATTGCAGAGTGTGTACACCACTCCTTTTTATAGTTCTAATATCAATGGAGGAAAAGATGATATAACTCCTAAAATCCCAGGGAGTGTACACCCCTTCTGTGATATTGTTTCCAATATCCAAGGGGGAGAGATGCTGATATTACTACCAATATTGCAGGGGGTGTACACCATTTCTGTGATATTGTTTTTAATATTTAGGGGGGAGAGGATGATATTACTCTCAATATCGCAGGGAATGTACACACCCCCTATGATATTGTTGCCAATATCCAGGTGGGAAGAGGATATTACACCCAATATCTTAGGAGGTGTACATCCCCCTGTGATATTGTTAGTAATATCCAGGTGGGGAGAGGATGAGAGTACTCCCAATATCGAAGGGGGTGTATGCCTCCCGTGTGATATTTCTTCTAATATCCAAGGAGGGAGAAGATGATATTACTGTCCATTTCACGGGGGGTATACAGCCCGCTGATATTTTTACTAATATGCGAGGGTGGAGGAAGGGGATATTACTCTTACTATTGTAGGAGGTGTAAACCCTTCATGTAATATTGTTTCTAATAATCAGAAGGGAGAGAATGCTATTACTCCCAATATCACAGAAGGTGTAAACCCCCTCTGTAATATTGTTCCAACTGCCCCGGGATGGGGGGAGAAGTTGATATTACTCCCAGTATTACAGGGAATGCACATCGCCCCTGTGATATTGTTCGTAATAACCAGGTTGGAAGAGGGTTATATTACGTTCAATATCGCTGGGGGTGTACACTGCCCCGTAATATTGTTCCTAATATTTAGCGGGGGAGAGGATATTACTCCCAATATCACAGGGATTGTACACACTCCCTAAGATATTGTTCCTAATATAGAGAGGGTGAGAGGATGATATTACTCCCAATAGCACAGGAAGTGTACACCTTCCTGTGATATTGTTCCTAATATCCATGGGGGGGGAGACAATGATATTATTCCCAGTATGACAGAGGGGGTACACCCCACCTGCGTTATTGTTTCTAATATCGAGTGGAGGAGAGGAGAATATTATTCTCAATATCAGAGAAACTGTACAGTTCTTCTGTGATACGTTTCAAGATATACAGGAGGAAAGAGGATGACATTACTTCCAATATCGCAGGGGGTGTACACCTCCCCCCTCGTGATTTTGTTTATAATATCCAGGGGGAGAACAAAGGATATTAATTCCACTATCACAGGGTTGTATACCTATTTTGTAATATTGTTCCTAATATCCACGGCTGGAGACGACAATATTATCCCCAATAGCGCAGGAGGTGTACACCCCCTCTGTGATATTGTTCCTAATATCCAGGGGCGGAGAGGATGACATTACTCCCAGTATCACAAGGGGTTTACAGATCCCTATAATAATGTTCCTAGTATCCTATGGGTGAGAGGATAATATTCCCAATATTACGGGCCATGTACACCCTCCCTGTGATATTGTTCCTAATATCGAGGGGGGCAGAGGATAATATTACTCCCAATATCGCAGGATGTGTATGCCCTCTTTGTGATATTGTTCCTAATATCCAGGGCGGAAGATGACAATATTACTGCCAAAATCGCTGGGGGTGGGGGTGTATAAGATATTACTCCCAATACCTCAGGAGGCATACACACCCCTGTGATATTTTTCCTAGTAACAAGTGAGGAAGAAGATGATATTATTCCCAATATCACAGTGTACATCCCCCCTGTGTATTGTTCCTAATATTAAAAATTGAGAGGATAATATTACTCACTATATCGCAGGGAGTGTAAACCTCACTTGTGATATTAGTATTTTTCAATGTGGGAAATGACGATATTACTGTAACTATCACAGGGGGTTTACACCTACCCTGTGATATTGCTCCCAATATTCAGTGGAAGAGAGGATAATATTAATACAAATATCGAAGGGAGTGTAAACCTCACCCCCATGATATTGCTTTTAATATCCAGGCATGGAGAGGATGCTGCTATTCCCAATATAGCAGGGAGTGTTCACCCCCTTTTTCGATATGGTTCCTAATACCCAGGAGGGGAGAGTATGATATTACTCCCAATATCGCAGGGGTGTACACTCCCTTTGTGATATTCTTTTTAATATCCAGGAAGTAGAGGATGATATTACTCCCATCTCGTAGGGGGTAATATTTGTTCTAATATCCAGGTTGGAAGGGGATGATATGTGATATTGTTCCTAATATCCAGATGGGGAGAAAATAATATTTCTCTCAATAGAGCAGGGAGTGTACTCCCTTTATGATATTGTTCCTAATATCCTGGGGAAGAGCGAATTATATTACCTCCAATATCACAAGTGGTGTACAACCCCCAGTGATATTGTTCCTAATATTCAGGGGGTAGAGAATGATATCATTCCCAATATCACAGTTGGTGTACAGCTCTCCTATAATATTGTTTCTAATATTCAGTGGGGGAGAAAAAGATATTACTCTTAACATAGCTGGAATTGTACACCCTCTCTGTGATATTGTTCCTAATATCCAGAGGGGGAGAAGATGATATTACTCCCAATGCCGAGGAAGTGTACACCCCCCCCCGTTATATTGTTCCTAATATTTAGGGGGGAGAGGATGATATTACTCCCAGTATCACAGGGAGTGTACACCCCCCCGTGATATTGTTTTTAATATCCAGGGGAGAGAGGATGATATTATTCCCAGTATCCCAGCAGGTGTACACACCACCTGTGATATTCTACCTAATATCCAGGGGAGGAGACGATGATACTACTTTCAATATCGCAGAGGTTATACACATCCCTGTGATTTTTTTTAATACTCAAGGGGGAGAGGATGATATTACTCTCAATATCACAGGGGCTGTAGATCCTCTTTGTGATATTGTGATATTGTTCTTAATATTTAGGGGCTAGAGGATGATATTACTTCCAATATCAATGGGGGTGTACTGACCCCGTGATATTGTTCCTAATATCCAGGTGGGGAGAGGTTGACATTACTTCCAATATTGAAGGTGGGGTACACAACCCCTGTGATATTGCTCCTAATATCCAAGGGGTAGAGGATGACATTACTCCCAATATTACAGGGATTGTGCATTCCCTTTGGGATATTACTCCTAATATTTAGGGGTGAGAGGATGATACTACTACTAATATCACATTGGGTGTACACCCTTTTGTGATATTGTTCCAAATATCCCAGGAGGTAGAGGATGATATTCCTCCTTATATCACAGGGGGCATACACCCCCTTGTAATATTGTTCCTAACATTTAAAGGGGGAGACTATGATATTACTGTCAATATCGCAGGGGGTGTATAACGCCCTGTGATACTCTTCCTAATATTCCGGGGTAGAGAAAATAATATTACTCCCTATTTTGAAGAGGGTGTACACTTCCCCGTGATATTGTTCCTAATATCCAGTTGGGGACAGGATGATATTACTCCCAATATCGCAGGAGGTGTACACACCGCCTGAGATAGTGTTCCTAATAACTACGGGAAAAGAGGATGATGTTACTTCCAATATGGCAGGTGGTGTACACCTTAAATATGATAGTGTTGCTAATATCCAGGGGAGAGGATGATCCTACTCCCAAATATCACAAAACCCCCTGTGATATAGTCCCTACTGTCCGGGAGGAAGAGAATGCTATTACTCCCAATATTGCAGAGGGTGTACACCTCCCTTGTGACATTGTTCCTACTATCCAGGTTTGGAGAGGATGATACTACACCCAATATTGCAGAGGGTGGACACCACTTCTGCGACATTTTTTCTAATATCCAGGTAGGAGAGGATAATGTTACTCCCAATATCGCAAGCGGTGAGCATCCCTGAAGATATTATTTCTAATATCCAGGGGGGAAAGAGATGACATTACTCCCAGTATCGCAGGGAGTGGACAGTTTTTTGTGCTATTGTTCCTAATATCGAGGCCGAAAGAATACGATATTACACTCAACATCTCAGGGGGTGTACGCCCCTCTTGTGATATTGTTTTTAATATCCAGTAAGAGAGAGGATGATATTAATTCCAATAACACAGAAGGTGTACACGCCCCCTGTGATACTGTTCCTAATATACAGGGGAAGAAAGGATATCACTCCCAATATCTCAGGAGATGTACACACCACCTTGTAATACTGTTCCTAATATCGACGGGGGAAGAGGATGATATTACTTTTAATATCTCAGGGGGTGCACACATCCCTGTGATATTGTTCCTAATATCCATGTGGGGAGAAGATGATATTACTCCCAATATCACAGGGTGTGTACACCCTCTTTGGGATATTGTTACTAATATTTAGGAGGGAGAGAATGATACTACTTCCAGTATTGCAAGGGGTGTACACCACCCCTGTGATATAGTTTCTAATATTTAGGAGGAGAGAGGATAATATTACTCCCAATATCACAGGGGGTGTACACCCCTTTTGTGATATTGTTCCTAATATCAAAGTGGGGAGGCGATGATATTACTATCAATATCGCAGAGGGTGTACACTCCCGCTTTGATATTGTTCCTGCTATTTAGAGGGGCAGAGGATGATATAATTCCCAATATTGCAGGGGCTATACACCCCCCCCGTGATATTGTTTCTAATATTCTGAGGAAGGGAGGACGATATTACTCTCAATATCGCAAGGGGTGTACAGAATCCTTCTGTGATTCTGTTTCTAATATTCAGGTGGGGAGAGCATGATATTATTCCAATATTGCAGGAGGTGTACATTCCCCCTGTGATATTGTTCCTAATATCCAGAGGGGAGAAGGATGATATTACTCCCAATTTCGCAGGAGGTGTACACACCCTGTGATATTGTCCCTAATATGCGTGAGGGGAGAGGATGATATTACTCCCAATATTGCAGAGGGGTACACATTTCCTGTGCTATTGTTTTTAAAATCCAGGGAGGAGAGGATGATATTACTCCCAGTATTACAGACGGTGTACACACCCCTGTGCTATTATTACTAATATCCATGGGGGGAAGAATGATATTACTTTCAATATTGCAGGCGGTGTATTCATCAATGCGATATATTGTTCCTAATATCCAGGAGGGGAGAGGATGATATCACTCCAAATATCACAGGGGGTGTACACCCACCCTGTGATATTCTTCCTCGTATCCAGGGGGAGAGAGAGAAGACGATATTACTCCCAATATTGCAGGGGTGTACACCCACCTGTAATATTGTTTCTAATATCCGGGGGGGGGAGAGGATTATACTATTCTCAATAATGCATGGGGTGTACACCTCCCCTGTGATATTGTTCCTAATATCCAGGGTGAGAGAGGATGATATTACTCCCAAAATCGCATAAGGTGTACCCAAACCCTGTGATATTGTTCCTAATATGCAGGGAGGGAGAAGATAATATTACTCCCAATATCTCAGAGTGTGTACACCCCCCCCGAGATATTGTTCCTAATATTCAAGGGGGGAGAGGATGATATTACTTCCAATATCGCAGGGAGTGTACAAACCCCTGGTATATTGTTCCTAATATTCAAATGGGGAGAAGATGATATTACTTTCAATATCGCAGAGGATGTACACCCCCCAGGTGATATTGTTTTTAATATTTTGGAGGGTAAAAATGATATTACCAGCCGGGCGCGGTGGCTCACGCCTGTAATCCCAGCACTTTGGGAGGCCGAGGCAGGCGGATCATGAAGTCAGGAGATCGAGACCGTCCTGGCTAACACGGTGAAACCCCGTCTCTACTAAAAATACAAAAAATTAGCCGGGTGTGGTTGCAGGTGCCTGTAGTCCCAGCTACTCGGGAGGCTGAGGCAGGAGAATGGCTTGAACCCGGGAGGCGGAGCTCGCAGTGAGCCGAGATCGCGCCACTGCACTCCAGCCTGGGCGACAGAGCGAGTCTCCGTATGAAAAAAAAAAAAAAAAAGATATTACCCCCATTTTCACAGGGGATGTACATGCCTTCTGTGATATTGTTCCTAACATTCAGGGGAGAAGAAGATGATATTACTCCCAGTATCGCAGGGGTTGTAAACCCCCCTGTGTTATTGTTTCTTATGTTCAGGGGAAGACAGGATGACATTACTTTTAATATTGCAGGGGGTGTACAACTTTTCTCGTGATATTGTTCCTAATATGCAGGCGGGGGAGAAGATGATATTACTTCCAATATTGCAGAGGGTGTACAACTCGGTATGATATTGTTCCCAATATCCAAGGTGGGAGAGGATAATATTACACCCAATATTGAAGGAAGTGTACACTTCCCTTGTGATATAGTATTTAATATCCAGGTGGAAATAGGATGATATTACTCCCAATATCGCAGTGTGTGTACACACTCTGATACTGGTCCTAATATCCAGAAGGGAAGAGGTTGATATTACTCCCAATATTGCAGGGGATGTTCACACCCCTTGTGGCATTTTTCATAATATCCAGAGGGGAGAGTATGAGATGACTCCCAGTATCGCAGGGGGTGTACAAACTCTTTGGGATATTGTTCCTAATATTTATAAGGAATGAATGACATTACTCCCAATATTGCAGGGGGTGTACCTTAACCCTGTTATATTGTCCTAATATCCAGGGAAGGAAAGGATGATATTCCTCCCAATATCGAAGAGGGTGTACACCCCCCTTATGATGTTGTTCCTAATCCAAGGGGGAAGAGGATGATATTATTGTCAATATTGCAGGGAATGTACACTCTTCCTGTGATATTGTTCCCGCTATTCAGGGGGGACAGAATGATATTACTCCAATATCGCAGGAGGTGTACAACCCTCCTGTGATATTATTCCTAGAAATATCCAGAGGGGAAGAAGATGATATTACGTCCCTGTGATTTCATCCCTAATATCCAGCGGGTGAGAGGAGGATATTACTCTTAATATCGCAGGAAGGTTTCACACATCCCGTGATACTGTTTTTAATATCCAGGGAGGAGAGGATATTACTCCCAATATCGCAGAAGGTGTACACCAACCTGTGATCTTCTTCGTAATATCCAGGGGGCGGAAAGGATGATATTACTTTCAATATCACAAAGAATGTGCACATCAATGTAATATTGTTCCTACTATTTAGAGGGTGAGAGCATTATATTACTCCTAATATCGCAGTAGGTGTACACCCACCCTGTGATATTCTTCCATATACCCAGGTGGAGAGAAGATGTTATTACTCTTAATATTGCAAGGGGTGTACACGCCCCTGTGATATTGTTCCTAATATCAGGGTGGAAGGGGATGTTATTACTACCAATATGGCAGGGGATGTACACCTCCCTTGTGATAACGTTTTTAATATCCAAGTTGGGAGAGGATGATATTACTCCAAATGTCGCAGAAGATGTACACCACCCTTGTGATATTATTTTTAATATCCAGGGAGGAAGAAGAAAATATTACTCCCAATATCACAGTGGGTGTACACCCCCCGTGTAATATTGTTCCTAATATCCAGAATGAAAAAGAATGATCTTACTCCCAATATCACAGAGGGTGTACACTCCCCTTTTGATATAGTTTGTAATATCCGGGGGAGAAGAAGATAATATTACCCCCAATATCACAGGGTGGGTACACCCTTTTGTGATATTGGTCCAAATATCCAGGGGGGAAGATAATATTACTCCCAATATCGCAGGGGGTGTACACCCTCGTGAGGTATTTTTCCTAATATACAGGGAGGAGAGGATGACATTACTCCCAATATCACAGGGGGTGTACACACCCTTTGTGATACTGTTCCTAATATTTAGGGGGGAGAGGATGATATTACTCTCAATATCAAAGTGGGTGTACACCACCCGTGTGATATTGTTTGTAATATCCAGGTGGAACGAGGTTGACATTACTTCCAATATTGCAGGTGGTGTACACACCCCCTGTGGTATTGTTCCTAATATTTAGGGGGTAGAGCATGACATTGCTTCCAATATCGCAGGGAGTGTACACCCACTTTGTAATTTTGTACCTAATATTTAAGGGTGAGAGGATGATACTACTACCAATATCACAGGGGGTATATACCACTCTGTGATATTCTATCTAGCATTCCAGGGGGAGAGGATGATACTATTCCCAATATCACATGGGATGTACACCACCCCTGTGACATTGTGTCTAATATCCAGGGGGGCAGAGGATAACATTAGCCCCAATATTGCAGGGGGGGTACACACTTCCTGTGATATTTAATATCCAGGGTAGAGAGGATGATATTACTTCCAATATTGCAGAGGTTGTACACACCCCTGTGATATTCCTCTTAATATCCAGTGGGGGAAAGGATGATATTACTTTCAATATGGCAAGGGGTGTACACACCAATGTGATATTGTTCCTAATATCCGGGGGTGTTGATATTACTCCAAATGTGGCAGGGGGTGTTTATCAGCCCTGTGATAATCTTCCTCATATCCAGGGGGAAAGAAGAGGATATTATTCCCAACATTGCAAAATGTTGGGAATAATACATCCCAACTGTAATATTGTGATATTGTGATATTGTTCCTAATATCCAGGTGGGGAGAGGATGTTATTACTCCCAATATCGCAGGGGGTGTACACCTCCCCTGTGCTATTGTTTTTAATATCCAGGTTAAAAGAGGATGATATTACTCCAAATTTAGCAGAAAATGTACACCACCTCTGTGATATTGTTCCTAATATCCAGGGAAAGGGAAGATGATATTACTCCCAACATCTCAGAGGGTGTACACCACCCCCATGATATTGTTTATAATATCCCAGGGGGAGAAGGTAATATTTCTCCCAATATCGCAGGGTGTGTACACCACCTTCGATATTGTTCCTAATATCAAGTAGTAGACAAGATGATGTTATTCCCAATATCGCAGGGGGTGTAAACCCCCTGATATTTTTCCTAATATCCAGGTAAGGAAAGGTTGATATTACTTCCAATATTCCAGGTGGTGTGCACACTTCCTGTGAAATTGTTCCTAATATCTAGGTGGTAGAAGTTGACATTACTCCCAATATCCCAGGAGGTGTACACCCCCTTTGTGATATTGTTTCTAATATTTAGGGTGAGAGGATACTACTACCAATATCTCAGGGGGTGTACACCCCTCTGTGATATTTTTCCTAATATCCCAGGGGGGAGAGGATGATATTGCTTCCAATATCGTAGGGGGCATACACCCCTCTTGTGATATTGTTCCTAATATTCAAGGGGGGAGACGATAATATGACTGTCAATATCGCAAAGGATGTACACCCCCCTGTGATATTGTTTATAATATCCCCGGGGGAAAAGGATGAAATTCCTCCCAATATTGAAGAGGGTGTATACCCCCCCGTGATATTGTTTCTAATATATCCAGGTGGGGACAGGATGATATTATTCCCAATATCGCAGGAGGTGTACACACCGCCTGAGATATTGTTCCTAATAACCATGGGAAGAGAGAATGATGTTACTTCCAGTATGGCAGGGGATGTACACGCCAAATGTGATAGTGTTCCTAATATTCAGGGGTGAGAGGATGTTATCACCCCCAATATCAGAGGGAGTGTACGCCCCTCTGTCATATAGATTGTCCTGTCCAGGGAGAAAAAGGATGATATTACTACCAATACCGCAGGGGGTGTACACCCACCTTGTGATATTGTTCCTAATATCCAGGTTCAGAGAAAGTGATACTACCCCCAATGTCGCAGAATGTGTACACCCCATCTGTGATATTTTTTCTATTATACAGGGGGGCAGAGGATGACATTACTTCCAATATTGCAGAGGGTGTGCACCCCCCTGAGATATTGTTTTTAATATCCAAAGGGGGAGAGGATAATATTACTCCCAATATCGCAGAGAGTCTACACCTCCTCTGTGATATAGATCCTAATATCGAGGTTGAAAGTATATAATATTATTCACAATATCACAGGGGGTGTACACCCCCTACATTCCCTCTGCGATATTGCTTTTAATATCCAGTAAGGGAGATGGTATTAATTCCAATATCGCAGGGGGGGGGGGTACAGGCTTCCTCTGATATTGTTCCTAATATACAGGGAAGGAAAGAATGATATTACACCCAATATCGCAGGGGGGTTACACCCCGTCTTTGGGATATTGTTCCTAATATTCACAATGAAAGACGATAATATTACTTCGAATATCGCAGGGGGTGTACACTCCCCCCCATTATATTGTTTCTTATATCCATGGGGGGAGAAAATGATATTACTCCCAATGGCGCAGAAGGTGTACACATTTCCTGTGATACTGTTCTTAATATCCAGAGGCATAAAGGATAATATTACACCCAATATCACAGGATATGTCCACCCCCGATATTGTTCCTAATATCCAGGGGTTAGAGGATGATATTACTTCTAATATTGTGATATTGTTCCTAATATCCAGGTGGAGAAAGAATGATATTACTCTTTATATCGTAGGGTGTGTACATTACTCCTTTGATACAGTTCCTAATATTTAGAAGAGGAGATGATGATATTACTCCCAGTATCACAAAAGGTGTACACCCCTTCTGTGATATTGTTTCTAATATCAAGTAGGGGAGAGGATGATATTACCACCAATATCGAAGGAGGAGTACACACCCCCTGTGATATTCTTTTTAATATCCAAAAGGGAGAGGGTGATATTACTCTCAATATCGCAGAAGGTGTACATACCCCGTCTGATGTTCTTCTTAATATCCATGGGGGGAGAGAATGATATTACTTTCAATGTCGCAATGGGTGTACACATACCTGTGATATTGTTTCTAATATCCAGGGGGAGAGGGGATAATATTACACCCAATATTGAAGGGGTTGTACACCCGCACTGTGATATTTTTCCTAATATCCAAATAGGGAGAGGATGATATAACTCCCAATATCACAGGGAGTGTACAGCCCCCCTGTGATACTGTTTTTAATATCCAGGTTGGGATGCTATTCCTCCCAATATCGCAGAGTTTGTACACCCCTCTCGTGGTATTGTTCCAAATATCCAAGGATGGAGAAATCATATAACTGTCAATATCACAAGAGGGAATACACCATCCCATGATATTGTTTCTAATATCCAGGGTGGGAAAAAGAATGATATCACTCCCAGTATTGCAGGATGTGTACACCCCCATGTGATATTGCTCTTAATATCCAGAAGGTGGAGTAATATATTACTCCCAATTTTGAATGGAGTGTACACACCCACCCTGCGGTATTGTTCCTACAGTCCGGTGCGGGGAGAAGATGATATTACTCCCAATATCACACAGGGTGTAACTCCTTCCTGATATTTTTTCTAATATTCAAATTGGGAGTTACATTACGCTCAATATCGCAGGGAGTGTACACTCCCCCTGTGATATTGTTCCAAATTCCAGGGTGAAAGAGGATGATATTACTCTTAATATCGCAGGGGTTGTACACCCCCTCGGGACATTGTTCCTAATATCCAGGGAGGGAGAGGATGATATTACTCCCAACCCAATAGCGAAAAGGATGTACACCTTCCTGCGATATTGTTCCTAATATCCGGGGGGGAGAAGATGATGTTACTCCCAATATCGCAGGGGGGCTGTACACCCCCCTGTGATATTGTTTCTAATATTGAGCAGTGGAGAGGATGACTCCCAATTTCCAAGAAGATATACACTTCTTCTGTGATATAGCTTCTAATATTTAGGAAAGGAGAGGATGACATTACTTCCAATATCACAGTGGGTGTACACCTTTTCTGCGATATTGTTCCTAATATCCACGGGGGGAAAGGATGAT